>NC_000011.10:31272121-31423636 GCF_000001405.40 Homo sapiens
ATTGCACTCCAGCCTGGTTGGCAGGGTGAGACTCCATCTAAAAAAAAAAAAAAAAACCACCAGAGCTGATAAGACGTTTTCACTATCACAAGAACAGCACGGGAAAGACCTGCCACCATGACTCAATTACCTCCCATCAGGTCCCTCCCACAACATATGGAAATTCAATATGAGATTTGGGTAGGGACATAGCCAAACCATATCATTTCACTTCTCAAATCTCATGACCCCTCCCAAATCTCATGTCCTCACATTTTGAAACCAATCATGCCTTCCCGACAGTCCCTCAAAGTCTTAATTCATTTTAGCATTAACTCAAAAGTCCACAGTCCAAAGTTTCATCTGAGACAAAGAAAGTCCCTTCCACCTATGAGCCAGTAAATTAAAATAAAAAGCAAGTTAATTACTCTCTAGATAAAATGGGGGTACAGGCATTGGATAAATACAGTTGTTCCAAATGGGAGAAACTGGAGAAAACAAATGGGCTACAGGCCCCATGCAAGTCTAAAATCCAACAGGGTGGTCAAATCTTAAAACTCCAAAATGATCTCCTTTGACTCCATGTCTCACATACAGGTCATGCTGACGCAAGAAGGGGGTTCCCATGGTCTTGGGCAGTTCTACTCCTGCGGCTTTGCAGGGCACAGCCGCTGCTTTCATGGGCTGGTGTTGAATGTCTGAAGCATTTCCAGATGCATGGTGCAAGTTGTCAGTGGATCTACCATTTTGAGGTCTAGAGGATGGTGGTCCTCTTCTTACAGGTCCACTAGGCAGTGCCCCAGTAGGAACTCTGTGTAGGGACTCACAAGCTGCCAAGGCTTGGGGCTTGCACCCTCTGAAGCCATGGCCTGAACTCTACATTGGCCCCTTTCAGCCACGGCTGGAGCAGCTGGGATGCAGGGCACCAAGTCCCTAGACTGCAATGTAGTATGGGACCCTGGGCCCGGCCCACGAACCATTTTTTCCTCCTAGGCCTCCAGGCTTGTGATGGGGGGCATTGCTGTGAAGACTTCTGACATGCCCTGGAGACACTTTCCCCATTGTCTTGGGGATTAACATTCAGCTCCTCATTATTTATACAAATTTCTGCAGCCAGCTTGAATTTCTCCTCAGAAAATGGGATTTTATTTTCTATTGAATTGTTAGGCTGTAAATTTTCCAAACTTTTATGCTCTGCTTCCTTTATAAAACTGAATGCCTTTAACGGTACCCAAGTCACATCTTGAATGCTTTGCTGCTTAGAAGTTTCTTCCACCAGATACCCTAAATCATCTCTCTCAATTTCAAAGTTCCACAAATCTCTAGGGCAGGGGCAACATACCACAAGTCTCTTTGCTAAAATATAACAAGTCACCTTTGCTCCAGTTCCCAACAAGTTCCTTATCTCCATTTAAGACCACCTCAGCCTGGACTTCATTGTCCATATCAGTATCAGCATTTTGGTCAAAGCCATTCAACAAGTCTCTAGGGAGCTCCAAACTTTCCAATTTTGTCCTATCTTCTTTTGAGCTCTCCAAACTGTTCCAACCTCTAACTGTTACTCAGTTCGAAAGTCGCTTCCACATTTTCAGGTATCTACAGCAGCACCCCACTCTTGGTACCAATTTACTGTATTAGTCCATTTCACACTGCTGAGAAAGACATACCCAAGAATGGGCAATTTATAAAAGAAAGAGGTTTAGTGGACTTACAGTTCCACATGGCTGGGGAGGCTTCACACTCATGGTAGAAGGCAAATCGGAGCAAGTCATGTCTTACATGGATGGCAGCAAGCAGAGAGAGAGCTTGTGCAGGGAAACTCCTCCTTATAAAACCATCAGATCGCATGAGACTAACTATCATGAGAACAGCATGTGAAAGACCCATCCCCATGACTCAATTACCTCCCACCTGGGTGCCTCCCACAACATGTGGGAATTAAAGATGAGATTTGGGTGGGGACACAACCAAACCATATCAAGCATGAACAAATCCTGAGATACAAGAATCCACTATTTTTTCTCCTGCTTTCTTGTCTTCTTCATAGGATCATGCATATTCATTCACTGGGGTTTATCAAGATAAGTTCTAGCCTTCTTTCTGCCCCTCTCTTAAGGCAATCTAAATGGTACCCCAACATTTCATCTTCCATTTACATACCGACAACTCCCAAATTGATATGTTTCTTTTATTCATCAATTCAAAATATTATTGACTACTAATATCTCCCAAGTGCCTGGATATGGCAGTGAGCAAAACCAGCCAGGTTCTTGTTCTCATGGAGCTTTTAGTCTAGTGCTGGATAAAGACATTTATAAAATGATCATATCATTACATGTGGAGTAGGTGGCATAAGGAAGGCTTCTGAGAAGAGATAAACTGGATTTATCTGGAAACAAGTGGAGAATATTGAGAGTGGGGAACTATTTCAGAGAACATAGCATATGAAAAGGCTCCATGGCAGAGCAAGCAGGATGTATTCCAGGAATCGAAAGGTCAGCATATGAAAGGGGAGAGTAGCCTCATAGGAAAGGAAAGAAGCCTTCCTTATGCCACCTACTCCACACACATTTAATGATATGATCATTTCACAAATGTCTTTTTTTTTTTTTTTTTCCGAGACAGAGTCTCACTCTGTCAGCCAGGCTGGAGTGCAATGGCATGGTCTCTGCTCACTGAAACATCTGCCTCCCAGGTTCAAGTGATTCTCCTGCCTCAGTCTCCCGAGTAGCTGGGACTAAAGGCACATGCCACCATGCTAAGCTAATTTTTGTATTTTTAGTAGAGATAGGGTTTCACTATGTTTGCCAGGCTGGTCTTGAACTCCTGACCTCATGATCTGCCTGCTTAAGCCTCCCAAAGTGCTGGGATTACAGGTGTGAGCCACCACACCCGTCTTTATTTTACAAATCTCTTTGTCCACCACTAGACTAAAAGTTCCATGAGAACAAGGCCATGGTTGGTTTTGCTCACCACCATATCCAGGTACTTGGCAGACATTAGTAGTCAAAAAATATTTTGAATTAATGAATAAAAGAGTTAATATATATTATTTCTAATTTAAACTCATTTTAGTATAAATATCTTTTGATCAAGATTCTGATAAGCTAGCAAAAAATTCTGACTGCTTTTATAAAATTATGCTGTAAAGTATGCATAATTCCAGAAGAATTTTTTTCAAATAAACCAATTCTTTTTAGTACCAGAGCACTGACTTTTTGCAAGTCCTAGGAAATAAAATAAGAAAACCTCTTCACATGTGTAGTAACACTGTTGGCTGCCTATCCAATATCCATTCTCCATCCTCATCCTTACTATACTGATTTTGTTTAGGTATACACTCTTTTCCCTTTTGACTCAAGGAAGACTACAATTATCTTTCTGTCGTCGTTGTTGTTGTTGTTTGCTTTTCTGTTTTTTTGAGACAGAGTTTCGCTCTTGTTGCCTAGGCTGGAGTGCAATGGCTTGATCTCGGCTCACTGCAACCTCTGCCTCCCGGGTTCAAGTGATTCTCCTGCCTCAGCCTCCCGAATAGCTGGGATTACAGGTGTGCACCACTACGCCTGGCTAATTTTGTATTTTTAGTAGAGACAGGGTTTCTCCATGTTGGTCAGGCTGGTCTTGAACTCTTGACCTCAGGTGTTCCGCCTTCCTTGGCCTCCCAAAGAGCCACTGTGCCCAGTCTACAATTATCTTGATGTGTCTAAATTACCTATTGTAGTCTCACGCCCCTTGTCAGTGAATGGCTTAAGATAGACACATAACCCAGTTCTGGCCAATGAGACATAAGCAGGGGCTTCTGGGAAAGGCTAATCATTCATAGAGACGAGATGGTCCTTTTGTGCCTCTGTATATAGTTATACCTGGCTGTGCAGCCATCTTGTTACCAACATATGAAAGAGTACAAACTCCAGAAAACTGTAGCAATCACAGCTGGAATTCTGTCATACTATGGTTGGTGCTGCCCTACCTCTGGATTTCTTCCTTCCTTTTTGCTTAAGTCTGTTTGAATCAGGAATCTGTTATTTGCAGCTAATGTCATCCTAACTGACAGAAAAATACATTTTTTGGTCCCATGTTCCTCAAATGATGAAAATCTATTCAGCTAATTCAGTGAGTATTTGTATACCAAATAGATTACAACAGTATTCACTATATAAACCTAAAAAGCAAACCATTTAATTAAAAATCTAGGGAATAATTTTAGATGAAATTTATCAAGCTGAAAATTATGAAAATGAATGGATAATTGTGAAACTAATCATTTGGATTACTAAAAATACTTCACCTTTGGCAATTAATTGTACTTGCTCAGTAGAAGAGAACTACCATTTATTATGATTATTTTGAGAAAGGGAATCTGTTTTTATAGAATTTTTTTTTTTGCTAACTGAAAGGCTGTCAAATAGTTTATGAATTTTCCAAGAATTAAAATGTAATAAAATGCCATGCATAAGTCTCTGCTCAGGCCAGCATTTTACAAAAATGACTTATAATCAAAATTATTATCATTATGTTAACCAGAAAATGCCAGAAGATTGGGCTAAATTTGTACCCATCTCATTAAGTACCTTAAAGGTACTTTTCTGAATAAAATCCTAGAGCTAAATATGCTGGCCTGTTATTTGTCTTATTCTCATAAAGGTAAGTGAAAGAATGTACACCAAATCTAGTTATTTGCTTGCACTAGTAATGAACATAAATATGATTTGAAAAGGCAGCTATTTCTCGTGAATTTGTGTTCTGTGGTGTTTTGGTATTTTATTTTTAGAATGTGAATGAGAAGTAGATAACCAGAGGAAATTTTCTTAAGAATAATTAAATGAACCAGATTACAATTCTAATCATATTATTATTTTTGTTTTTAAAATCTACTCTGTTGATTTATAATGTACATGAAATAAACTGTACCTATTTTAAGTAGGTGCAGTTGATGCAGGTAGAACAATGTATATCCGTATGTAACTACCACAGTGAATATATAGAATATTCCCACCACCTTCCAAAATTCCTCATGTTCTTTTCCAATTACAACTCAATACTCCTGGCCCTAAGTCACCAATAATCTGGTTTTTTTCACTAGAGAATAGTTCGTCTGTTCTACAATTTCATGGCATGTAATATTTTGTACCTGGTTTCATTCATTTACCACAATGCTCGTTCCTTTTTATTGTTGAAAAATAGTCCTTGACATAAATATATAATAATGTTTTATCCATTCACAGGTATATGGACTTTTTTACTGTCTGTAATTTGGCTAATTGCAAATAAAACAACTATGAACATTCACTTAGAAGTTTTTGTGTTGACATATGTTATTTATCTTGGTATATATCTAAAAATGAGATTGCAGGATTGTATTTAAGTGTAAGCTTAACTTTATATGAAAGTATCAAACTGTTTTGCCAAGTGGCTGCGTCATTTTGCATTCTTATCAGCTAAATATAAGATTTGCTATTTCTCCACATTTTCACCTACTTGGTATTGTCAGTCTTTTAAATATTAGTCATTTTAATGTGTGTATAGTGGTAACTCCATGGATTTAATTGCATTTCCTCGATGATTAATAATACTGAGCATCTTTTCATGTGCTAATGGTTGATTTCTATGTCTTCTTAGTAAAATGCCTCATTCACATCTTTTGACTTATTTTTGTATTGTTTGTTTTCTTACTGTTGAGGTTTCAGAAATGTTTATATATTCTCAACCAAAGTTTTTTGTTAAGTACGTGTTTTCTGGATATTTTCTCTCATTCTGTGGCTTGCCTTTTCATTTTTATAATGCTGTATTTACAAGAGCAAAAGTTTTTTGATTCAGACAAAGTATAATCATTTTTTGTTCATATTTTTTGTGTCCTAAGAAATATTTGCCTACCCAAGGTTAAAAAGATTTTCTCCCACGTTTTCTCTGAGAATTAGTATAGTTTTGTTCTTTATAATAAGATCTGTGATCAATTTAAATCAATTTTCATGAATGATTGTGAGGTAAGTTCTTATCACACAGAAATATCCAATTGTTTCAGCAATATTTATCAAAAACACTGTCTTTTCCCCCATTGAATCACTCTATCAAGAATGATTTACCCATGTATGTGTGGGTCTATTTCTGAACTCTCCATTTTGTTTCTTTGCCCTTTATGTGTATTCTTATTCCCATATCATCCTGTTTTGATTATTTTAGCTTTATAATAGATGTTGAAAACAGGTAGTGTAAATGGAATACTATTCCTCCTTTAAAAAGGAGAAACTCTTGTCATTTGCAGCAACATGGATGAACCTGGAGGGCATTATGTTAAGTGAAATAAGCCAGGCACAGAAACACAAATACCACATGATTTCACTTATATGTGAAAACAAAAAAAGTCAAACTCACAGAAGCAGAGAGTAGAATGGTGATTACAGGAGACTGCAGTGGGAGTGGGAGGACTGGGAAGATATTGGCTAAAGTACACAAAATTTCAGTCAGACAGGAGGTATAAGTTCAAGAGAATGATTGTATATCATGGTGACTATAGTTAATAACAGTATATTATACACTTGAAAATTGCTAAGAAAGCAGATTTTATGTATTTTTATGACAAAAAAATGATAAGTATCTAAAGTAATTCAACTGTTAATCAGCTTGGTTTCTCCATTCCACAATGTAGGCATATTTCAAATCATCATGTAGTATACCATAAATACATAAAATTTTTATTTGTCAATTTAAAAAATAAATAACAATAATAATAAATACATACTAAAATACAACTTTTTAAAAGAAATCAGGTAGTATAAATCCTCCAAATTTGCTCCTGTTTAAAACTGATTTGGCTATCTAATTCCTTTGCATTTCTAGCATTTCCACGTATATTTTAGAAATATCTTGCCAATTTATGCCCCTTTCCTCAAAGAAAAGACTGGTTGAATTTTGGTGAGTATTGTGATGACTATATAGATCAATTTGCAGGAAACTGGCATCATAATAATTTTGAAGTTTCCAGTCCATGAACATGGTATATCTCTTGGACCTTCTTTCATTTCTCTCAGCAATTATTTGTTGTTTTCACTGTATAAGTCTTGCACATATTGTGTTAAATGAATAGTTAAGTATTTCATGTGTTTGAGTGTTGTGGTATTGGATTTTTACATTTCATTTTCTTTTTTTTGTGTGTGTGTGTGTGTATATCTCCTCTATTTTAATCCTTTTAAGTTGGCAAAAGCACTATTCCCGATCACAAATACACAGCAGTTCTACAGTTTTATGTTTCTGAATGGCTGTTTAAAGACAATCCTAAATTATTACTTAGTTTGACTTAGATTGTAAAGAGTTCAAGAGTGAAGTTTATAAGACACATGCACACGTATGTTTATTGTGGCACTGTTCACAATGGCGAAGACTTGAAGCCAACTCAAATGCTCATCAATGATAGACTGGATAGAGAAAATGTGGCACATATACACCATGGAACACTATGCAGCCATAAAAAAAGGATGAGTTCATGTCCTTTGCAGGGACATGGATGAAACCATCATTCTCAGAAAACTAACACAAGAACAGAAAACCAAACACCACATGTTCTCACTCATAGGTGAGAGCTGAACAATGGGAACACATGGACACAGGGAGGGGAACATCACACACCACAGCCTGTCAGGGGGTGGGGGGCTAGGCGAGGGATAACATCAGGAGAAATACCTAATGTAGATGACAGTTTGATGGGTGCAGCAAACCACCATGGCACGTGTATACCTAAGTAACAAACCTGAACGTTCTGCACATGTATCCCAGAACTTAAAGTATAATAAATTAAAATAATAATAATAATAAAAGATTATCTGTAATTTTTTATTCTGTAATAGGAATTACATAAAATTATTTCTCAAACATTAAATCAATTTTGCCTGCCTAAAATAAACTCAATTTAAACATAAAAAAACTTGCTATTTTAAAAGCATATGACCTCATAGATCATCTATAAAATGTGAGAAGTGTTAAATAACCTTTGATATTACACATAAACCACACTAAAATTCCTTTCAGTAAGTAAAAGGAACCATTTTAAATACAGGGAATTCTAATTAGATTGGCATAGTTAGGGCCAAAAATATAAAGTAGACGTTGCTACCTTATTTATCTTCAACCCTTGCCTTTAAGAGGCAAATGAACACAAAACACAGGTGAATCTTGCTTGGTTCTGAGACAGTGAAGGAATTTCCCCAGTATTTAAATATATTCACATAACCAGTTACATACATCTAAATATAAAACCAATCACCAGTAAGTTTTAAGATGGCATTCACCATCTTTGTGAAAAGGTGAAAATTATTAATGAAGTCTAATCATAGCTTTAGAAGGGGTAAACAGTGATAGCATTTACTGAATTCGAATTACTATTAAAATTCAAAAACTGAACATATTCATTTAACCAGAAGCTAGTCTTAGTTTTAAATCAGGACTGCCCAACAAAATATTCTGTCAGTCATTCATGACCTGAATTCTGGTGTATGAAATCTATTAAAGTATGGTATACATAAAAAAGTCATGAGACATTTCTGTTTTGTAATAAATAAGGCAGTGGCAAATTATTACTCATTTAGTAGCTTTTTTAAGACAAGCTAACAAGTCTGCCCTTTCTGCCTTCTTCTTAATGCCGGCAAAGATCATTTTTATTCTAGGGATGTACTTCTTGGGACTCTCCAAATACTCCATCAGTGTATCCTCTCCCCAGGTGATGCCTTTGTTCTTATTGGCATCTGTGTAAGTGAATACAATGGCCTGACCTGTCTTCTGCCCGAAGAGACCATGGAGATTAGGCCCAGTCTTGTGCTTGCCTCCCTTTTCCACGGTGTGGCACTGGGCACACTTTTGAACAAAAACTCTTCTTGCCTTTCTCAACATCACCCATATTTAATTCCCTTTTTCGTCACAACGAAGGTTCCCGCTCTGAAGCTAGACGTCCCATTCTCCTTAAATTTCACTTTCTAATTGTCACTAGCATATAGAATTTCACTGACCTTGTATCCTGCAAACTTGCTGAATGTATTCCTTAGTTCTACTAGCTTTTATGTAGGTTCTTTAAGGTATTTGATGTTCTTATCACATTGTCTATAAATAAAATAGTTTTTATTTCTTCCTTTCAAATTTATACCCTTTTTACTACTTTTTTCTTGCCTTATCACAGGGTAGGGCCCCCAATAGCATGTTAAGCTGAAATGAAAAGAGAGGACATCTTTGCCTTGATTCTGATCTTGAGGAAAACAGTTCAGTCTTTCATCATTAGGTATGTAGTTAAATCAGTGTTTAGTAGACATTCTTGACCAGATTGAAGAAATTCCCTTCTATTTCAAGTTTGCTATGAAAATTTTTTTTTGTTTTTTTAATAAGTGAATATTAAATTTTGTCAAATTCCTCTCCAATACCTACTGAAATGAGCATATGGCTTTTTCCATATTCTCTTAAGGTGGTCAACTACATTGTCTGTTGTTAAACCAACTGATATGGTTTGGCTCTGTGTCCCCACCCATATGTCATCTTGAATTGTACTCCCATAATTCCGTTTTGTGGGAGGGACACAGTGGGAGATAATTGAATCATGGGGGCAGTTTCACCCATACTGTTCTTGTGGTTGTGAATAAGTCTCACAAGACCTGATGGTTTGATAAGGGGAAACTGTTTCGCTTGGCTTTCGTTCTCCCTCTTGCCACCACCATGTGAGACGTGCTGTTTGCCTTCCACCATGATTATGAGGCTTCCTCAGTCATGTGAAACTGTAAGTCCAATAAACCTCTTTCTTTTGTAAATTGCCCAGTCTCAGGTATGTCTTTATCAGCAGCATGAAAACAGACTAATACACCAACTTTGCATTCCTGGGATAAAACTCACTTGATCATGATGTATTGTTGGATTTGACTTGTTAATACTTTTTGAAGGAATTTTGCATCTATGATTAGGAGGATATTGGTATGAATTTTCTTTTCTAGTAATGTCTTTATAATGCTAGTCTCATCATGTGAGGGGGAAGTTTTCCTGTTTTCTCTATTTTCTAAAAGGTTTGTGTACAACTGATATTATTTCTCATGAAAGGTTGATAAAATTCAACAATGAGATCATTTGGTCTTGGAATTTTGTTTTTTGAAAAGTTTTTAATTATAAATTTGATTTATTTAATACATAGAGAGATTTTGAGATATAAATTTTCTTCTGTCTCAGTTTTGGTAATTTATGTTGTATTAGAGTTCTATATCTAGAAGGACAAGATTAATAGGATAGGTGTATATATGAAAGGGAGTTTAATGTCTATCAAAGATAATATATATAATGTCTATTAAAGGATAATATATATAATTTTAAATATAATCAATTAAGATAAATACATGAAAGGGAGTTTAATGTCTACATTAAACAACTCTCCACAGCTGGAGAATGAGTGACCTGATATATTTGGTTATTTATTTCTAATTTAATTCTTTTGCAGCCAGGAAACATACTTAAAATAATTTTAATCCTTTTAAATGTACTGGGAATGGCTCAATAAGCAGCAAAGGGTCTATAAAAGTGAATGTACCAGGTACATTTAAAATAATTTCTTTGTGCATACCCAAATTTGTTTCTGGTATCATTTTCTTCCAGTGAAAAATATCCTTTAATATTTCTTATAGTTTAGGTCTGCTGGACACATGTGCTTCATATTCTGTTTGCCTGAGAATGCTTTTATTTCGAAGATTTTTTTTAAAGATATTTTCATGTAATATAAAATAATAAGATAACCAGTTTTTTCTTTCAGCGCTTTAAACATATTATCTCTCTCTACACTTTAAAGATATCTGCTATCTTCTGTCTTGCATTATTTCTAAAGAGAAGTTAGCTTTTATTCTTACATATGTATCCCTGTAATTAATGTGTTTCCTCCCCTCTGGTTGCTTTTAAGCTTTTCTATTTATCACTGCTTACAGCAATGTGATTTATGTCCTTAATCTGGTTATCTTTCTACCAGAGGTGCATTGAGCTTCTTAGATATGTGGGTTGTTTTCCATGAACCAAGAACTCAGGAAAAATTCTGGCCATTATTACTTCAAATATTCACAGCCTTCTCAGTCTTTCTAGGGCTCCAATTATACGTCTATTAGACTCACTGATATCATCCCACAAGTTAATGACACTCAGTCCTTGCTTTCAGCCTTTTCCTTCTGCTTCTCTACACTGCAGTTTGGATAGCTTCATTGCCCTGTCTTGAAGTTCACGGATCTTTTCTTCTCTAATATCTAACCTGCTGTTAAACCCAGGTTTTTTTTTTTGTTTTTTGTTTTTTTTGCAGTTAAGATATTGTAATTTTTAGAACTAGAAGTTCCACTGGTTCTATTTTAAGTTTCCAGTTCTCTTCGCATTATATTCATGTTTTTTTTTAATACGTGAACATATTTATAATCACTGTTTAAATGTCTTTTTCTGTTAACTCTATTTTGGGGTCTGTTTCTATTGATCAACTTTTCTTCTGGATATAAATTATCTTTACTGGAATCTTCATGAATTTGTTTAACAAGCTCAACAAGACCTCTCCTCTCCAACTGGTCAAAATGCAAATGTCTCCTTACCCTGCACATACTCCCATACTTGTTTCCCTTTTACATCCTAATTAGCTGTTCTTTTCCTGGCAGTTGTTTGTGTCAGACCTTGTGGAGTTCACCCTATGCATAAGCAACTTAATAGTCAGCCAAAGACATGAGGGGATGCTTACACAAAATTTGAGAACTATTCTACAAATAGCTCCCTCTTATGGTATTGCCCTGCAAATTTCAGCTACCTAGAACTTTGATGTCTTTCTCTTCAGTTTATGGGAAACACTGTGCTTTTCTCAGATTCTCTCTTCTCTCTCTCTCACTCTTTCCCTCCCTCTCTCTCTCTCTCTCTCTCTACTACGATCCATAAATTGCCTCCAGGTACAAAGACATAGTGAACTTTAGGACTCACTTCAACTTTTCCCCTTCTCTTAGGCATTACAGCTGATGCTTCCTGTTGTCTAATACCTAAAAATTGTTGTCACATATTTTGTCCAGTTTTTCAGTTGTATAGAATGGAATGGCCAGTCTGATACTAATTACTCCAAGTAGGAAATAATGGTTATGTTAAATTATTTTTAAGACAGGACACATTAGGAATTAAAATTTAAGAAAAAGTAATATTAAGAGAAGTTTTGAATAATAAATAATATTGCTCTTAAACATCAGAAAATGGGTTATAGTACTAGCTATTTCACTTGATCCACTTTGGATATGGCAGTCAGCTTGTCTAAGTTTCAGTTTTTTGAGTAGCTTGACTAGAAGACTTCATAAAATCCTGTGATTCTAATGTCCAGAAACTCGATAAAGTTCATCAAAGATTCTTTAATGGTAAGGTATGCATGGACACTAATCTAATAAATGCTTCAAGGTAACCATTATTGTTATATGTTCTTAACAATTAAAATATGTTAAAATATAAAATGTACATATAAAAACTATAAAATAATTTTAATAAAAAACACAGAAATACATTTTAACTTTCAAATTTAATATCATGTTTATGTCTTTTTTTTTTTTAAATGGAGTCTTGCTCTGTCACCCAGTCTGGAGTGCAGTGGCACGATCTTGGCTCACTGCAGCCTCTGCCTCTAAGGTTCAAGCAATTCTCCTGCCTCAGCCTCCCAAGTAGCTTGGATTACAGGCACCCACCACCATGCCCAGCTAATTTTTGTATTTTTAGTAGAGACAGGGTTTCACCATGTTGGCCAGGCTGGTCTCGAACTCCTGACCTTAGGTGATCTGCCCACCTTGGCCTCCCAAGGTGCTGGAATTATAGGCATAAGCCACCATGCCCGGCCATGTTAATGTCTTAACTGCTCCTAAATAATATTAAGGACTATCCTTAACTACCATCAGTAAAGTAAATGAATCTTTAGACTGATAATTCTCATTTGTTTTTATTTCCATTAAATACATTCTTTTTTCTTTTTGCTTTTTTTAGAATTTCATTTTTAAAAAAATTCTGACTATAAATAATTACTTATAATATTCTAAAATAACTCAATTATATATAGAAATTCACATTAAATAATGAAAAGGCAACTGGCTATTCATAGAATCTTAAGAATAAACCATATTATCAAATTCCATATTTTTAAAACTCTTCTTTTGTGTTTTTAATCAGATATTAATCTCTGATTTAAAAAACTAGCCTAATTTTTAAATAACAAGTAATATCAATGGACTTTTCTTCATATTTCATAAAAAGCTCTTTAAAGAAGTTCCAACATACTAATTATGCATGACCTCCTCTGTCGGAATCCATGTTGAGCATCCTTAATCAAATTTTGCTACCCCAGGTTCTCCTTTTTGAATCTCTTAAGATACTCTCTAAATTATTTTACCCACACTATTGGGAAAATCTCTGCTGCCATAGTTACTAATTTATGTGTGAACATTCTGCAATCGTACCATTATATTGTGTTATTTCAATTGAATTGGGCCTTTCTTAAGCTTGAAAATTTTCTTAATTTTTTGTTTAAGCTTATTAAGTTTTTTTATTAATAAATGGTAAACATCATAGAAATATATATTTCTCATGGCTTAAAGGCATCTGATAAAGTCTATTGCTTTTTTATACCTTGACATCCATATAGGAGTAATTCCCTCAATACTTACATGTTTTTTCAGTAATAACAGGAAAAAGTAATTACAATGAAATATGCTCACATATAAATATAAAGGGAGTATTTTTTTCCTAAGCCAGACTTGCTACACATAACCACTCTTTTTCTGCCAACTTGTAGATGTTTTCTATTTCCCGATTTCTGAACTCCCTACACTCATTCTAATCTAACAACTAGCTATCTAACTTCCCCCAACCTCTTTTATTCTGTCTCACACGTTATTTTTTTCTCTTAAACTACATGAGAAGTACAGGAGAACAAGCAAAAAGGAACTCTATGAAGATTTCCATCATATAGTAAGTTTGAAGTTTTAGAACACTGGAATAAGAATTCTCAAACTTTAGAGTGGCTGGGAATCATCTGGAGACATTTGTTGAAATTCAGATTCCCAGGGCCCACACTCAAGAATTCTTAACTCAATAGGCTTTAAGTGGGGCCTAGAGTCTGATTTTTTAACAGAAAGGCCAGACGATTCTGATGCAAGTGTTCTGTGGACCACACTTTGAAAAAAACTGTGGTCCTTTTGCCTACAGTAAGTATATGACGCCTCCAGGTAACGGAGGAAAAGTATTCTGTTCTCTTTGAAGTAAGTTAACATTATATTATTCATAGCATATATATATGTCATAATATATAACACTATATTATTATATAGCACAAATTATGCTGCATAAACCCCAAGAAATTGGGCAAAACAATCGGGATAGGAAGAAAATATTAGAATTATTCATTTTTATCTATAAAAATCAATAATTATGAATCAATTATTATTAATATTAAAAGATTGACACAACATATTTTCCAAAAAAGAGAACCAGAAAGGTGGGAAGATAATTAAGTGGTAAATGATTTAGCAGACCAGAAAAGTCAAAACTTAAACTAGTAAAAGTAAATTTTACTTGTATTGCAGTACCCCAAAAAGGCTCATAAATTTGAGATATCAGGTACCTCTAAAAGTTGGGCTGAAAACAGGTTGACTATATAGAAAACAGATAAACATCCAGAACCCTTCCCACATCAACCAGTCAGGCAACTATACTTTTGCTATCAGAAGAGTAGACATGAGATTTGCTCTCTGGAGAGACTAAACCTCTTACTGAAAAGAGGACAATTAAATGAAAATCTACATATTGAAAGTGAAACTCTTAGCCCCCTTCTCCACTTGGCTAGTACATTGCTCAAATTGGCAGACTTTATGTGGTGAAATTGATTAACTCCAGAGAAAAGACACTGATAATTAGGAACCCAACCCCAGTGAAAAATCCTAGTCAAAACACTCTCCGGTGAAATCCATCTGTCAATAACACAAACCTATGCTCACAACTTTTCAACCAACTTTTTAGTTCTTCACTTTTAAATATTGATGGAGGAGTAACTCATATTTAAAGTAAGTCTGTAACATTAAAGATCAAAATCAAATAAAACAAAAGCAATGCCCCCACCCTGCAAAACAAAACAAAACAAACAAACAAACAAAAAAAAACAAGTACTCAGAGAAAACACAGACTGTACAAGGAGAAGCAAAATATTCATTGGGTTGAGAGGCAAAGATAAGCAAATCTCCCAGATAAGAAAATTAGAAGTTCAGTTCGTAAGATCCAACATATAAAAGTAGGAGTTCCATAAAATAATAACAGAAAACCTACAGTAAAAGGATATTGTCAGAAATATATACAGTTTAACAAAACATCTCAAAAGAAAAGGATGACACTTTTCAAACTGAAAAGACATCCTGAGTATCCAGCACATCTTGAAAAAAAATTTGAACACTGTCAATAAAGAGATGGTTCTAAATGTTTTCATCCTTTGTGTCACCTACAAAGGACGATGAATCAGTCTGATATCAGACTTCTCAACAGCAACACTAGCAACAAAAATCAATGGAGCAATACTATTAATATTTGAAAGAAAAAATATTTCCCAAGATTTGAAAATATTCACCATCTGTGTTCTCTTTTTTGGGAAGCCACTGAAATATGCACACAGCAGAATACAGGAGGTACAGGAAAACTAGGGAATCAGGGAAAAGAAATCCAACAAAGGAGAGAGAGAACGATAACTCCCAGGTTGATAGTGAAGAGAGATCCCAGGATAGAGATCATAGAAAACAGCCAGTTCAAAAGGGAGCAAGAGGACAGCGTTTTTTTTTTTTTTATTGTTACATTCATTTCATTATCTTTTTCATCATTTTCTTCACCACTGTAATTTCCTGCTATTGGTGATAGTAGCAAACCAAGCAAAAAACCAAATAAGTAAGATATAATTATTAACTACTGGGAAAAAATTAAACATTTTTCATAAAAGAAATGCTATCTTGAATAATAAAATAATCCACACAGCCATCAATTATCTGAAAATGAATCCAAGATGTAATTGGAAGAGAATAAAACTTATCCACCATGATGCTAATCTCAAAGTTGTGTATCCATATCAGCTATATTTCATTTCCCATTAATTTGGCATCTTATGCCCACAAATTTTTCTTAATACCTTTTTCAAACCATGGATGTGTATGTTTAGCCTATATCTTACAGTAGCACATGCTGTGTGATTACTGAAGCCATATCAAGTAATTCTAAAATCATCAGATTTAAATCGCAAAGAGATGTGCTATAATTCCGGTATTCCAGAGTTTAGTAAAGGAATATATCATTTTGGCCCTCATTTCAAACTTCTTAATTACTTCCTAAAGTAAATAAATGGATTTCCTTTTGATGTTCTACTTATAATTAAAATAGAGTCATTTCCCCTTGGCTCTATTCTGTGCTCAGAGAGGACTTTTATGCTTTAACTACCTTATTGTACCACCCATTCTCAATAAATCTCTTCTTATCTCATTGCAATAACCTTCACCATATTAGAATCCTTTACATTCTACTTCAGTTTTACATTACTTAGTAGTAATTGAGAAATAGTTAACATTCCTAATATTTTATCATAAAAGAGAAAATAATTTGTTTTTTTCTTAAGACTATGCCACTTACTTATTTCTATTACTGATTTGGTATTTAATATATAAATAGAGCATGATCCTATGATTATCAACAACACTTTCAAAATTTAAATTTTATTTACAAAATAATTAGCAAGCCTTATTTTTCCCTTCTAAAAAGTTCTTATTGACACCCAAGATCAGCATTTTGTTGCCTCTTCTCCTTTACCTCATTCTTAAATGTGATACTGAGGCAAATATTTACAAATACATTTGTTACTAAATCATGTTCTATCATGAGTTCTATCATGAATTTGTGAAAATTCTTTAAATATTTTCTACAAATCATAAAAGAAAAAAGTAAGCTAAAGACTTCATTGATCATCCAGTTTTAAATAAATTCCTTTCTAGAGACAAAAAGCAAAATAGCAGTGACATTTTTATTTATACTCAACATTTCATCTAAGAACATATAATCTGTAAGAGTGACTATTACTCCAATTTTACCACTAAGGCATGGAATTACGAGATTGAACTGAAGTGAACTCAAGAGGTTATCTAACATAGCTTCTGTCTCCAAGAATGACTGCATTTTAACAGTCCAAGAGATACGTTCATCTTCTCTATTTTTCAAAATGGCCAGGGAAGATGTTATAACTTGCCTTAGCAATTTGCTCTGCTGTGTAATATCCCTTAATATCATAATCAAAATCTTCAGATAAGAAGGAAATAAAACTCAGGTTTCCCAGCTCCTTGGTAAATGCTCTTAACCAGTTGTGGTTGTAAAACCACCACAAAAATAAATAAATGAAGAAGTAGATATTTTGATTAAAATTCTAGTATCTAGTCAACTATTCACCTGTTTCAAGCAACATTCAATTCGAAATAGTATAGTATAACAAAATTATCTTGATTTCATAATAAAAATTTTCCATTAGAAAGAAAACTAATTTCTGTTAGGTGCATATTATGAGTCTCAAAAATGAGACTAGAAAACATTTAATGAGAACTTTCTGGGTGCCAGGCATTGTCCTCGATGCATAGTATCACATTAAATCCTCACAGCAACTCTATGAAGTAGGCACTACTGTTATCTCTGTTTTTTTAGATGAAGAAACTGAGGCTCAGGGAAACAAAGGTGTCCAAGGCCTCATAGCTAGTGAATGGTGAAGCCAAGATTCAACCCTAGGCGTTTGGTTATGTTTTACTGTCTCTCATACATTCTTAACACATTTGTTACTATATTATTATTAGGTTGCTTTTAAATTGGTTGAAAAATCCTTATCTGTAAAAAAATGTATGTGTGTTTCAAATTCCCATTAGCTCCTCGGTATTTTTTAATATCAAAGATGTTTTAGAAAGTACAAGCACCTTCTAAGAAACACGCATTTGTATGACAAGTAATACTTTAAATTCTGTTTTTTAAAGTTTGCTTGTTTCATGATTTTTCTTAGGCCCCTTAGATATGTTTTTAAAAACTTATATGAATACTTTGAAACTGCATTTTAGTGATTTGGGGCTTTGCTAATTCTTTAGAGGAGCAAGGATGCTTTTAGGTCTTACCACTATTCTAAATGAAAAGAGGCAGATTTGAGACTGGAAGCTAGCTTAGACTGGCTTCAATCTAAATAGCTTATAAAATATTGTAACTAATTAGAATGTTTAGAATGTTTTCTCTAGTAGAAACATAACATTTTAACTAGGTAAATGGCTAACTATGTTAGCCAAATAATTTCCTGAAATATTGTTGCTTTGCTAAGGTAATTTATGGTATTAGTGCAATAAGCAGACTTATAAACAGGTTTATACAGAATTTTTTAGTTCTATATAATGTCTTGTTAATATTTCTATTTGTTGGCATCGATATTTAGAAGAAGAAAACAACACATTTCAACAGCCACAAAACTTTGAAATTAAATTCATAGTTCAATATTTAATTAAAAATTACCTTTTTCATTGTTTCTTTTCCCACTGTAATCTCATGCCCATCCTGCCCCATGCCATTCTTAAAGAACAGAATTCGGACTGAGGTCCTCTCAGTAAGTTTCTTCATTCTAATAGAAAGAACAGGCTTGGTTTTCCGTCTTTTGATATCAGTAGGAAGCATCAACCCATTCATTGTCCAAGTTACTTTCTTAATTAACAACAGATGGTCTAGAAGATAATTTTTTAAGTCAAGTCAATATTTGGCTTCAAAATTAAAAATGGACACATCATACTTCCCTCCCTCTATTACCTGTGTATTATACACTGGCCAGTCTCCATTTAGATGCTGGTTTTCTGAAATGCTACCACCAGTTTCTTACTAACTGTGACATAAGCTGTAGCAAGCTGTCTGCTCTGATAGCCTGCATAAATCATCATTTCTGAAGGGAACAGATGTTCAGGGTATGAAAGAGTAATACCACAATTTAGTCCTAATTAAAATTCACCTTAGCCTGCCTCTATTACTGATTAAACGCACCCAGCTGAAAGGGTCTATTGAAAATATCCAGTGTCCTTTGCTTACTATAAAACAACATAGGTCTTGAACTTTTATGTTCTTTAGGGTTGGGAAACATTTCTCTTCTCTTTAATATGATTTCTTATCTATGTTGCTTTAAAGATGCTGACCTCCAAATAGTAACATTATACTGTAATTCTTCTCCTGTGACTAGAAGGAAGGTGCCTTCTAGGACATCCTCGGTGAGAGATTTAAACTATTTCACTGAAAATGAAAAACAGTTTTTCATTAACAGTTTACTTTGACCTATACATTTTCAAAGCTGTGTGCAGAAATTTAAGTTTTAAAACTCCCACTAATATAAACAGGAGTGCAACTAAATTACTATGTATGACTTCGAAAATGTAAGGGTAAGAAGAGGAGTGCAGTATATTGCATACTAAGTTGCCATCAGCATTCTTCTCTTTTCAAGAGGTTTTGTTTCACAAATAAATAATTTGCACCTGAGCTATTTATTTGTGCATTCAATTTATTTTAATCATATTTTCTTCTTACATAAATTACAAAAATACAATGATCCCTCCCTCATCTGCTCTTATTTGTTCTGAGAGAAACATAATTTTATTTATAGATAACTGAAAATAGCTGCATTTATTGCTATTTTGCATTGAAATTTGCCCAGATTTTCAAATGATCTTTCTCTGTTAGCACTCACCTTGAAAGAAGCTTGGCCTCTTTGACCTAGAAATGTTACTTTACATAAAATCTGCTAATATTGATATGAAAAACAAGCCAGTGGTTGTAATAACCTTCGAGTCTCACAATGGCTATATTAAATGTTCAACAACAACAACAACAAGAAAAATCCTCTATTCTTACCCCCCTTTCACTCTCTGTTACCCACACACATACACACATATAAAAACACATATACCGTGGCAGATAGATAAACAAAACTTGCAGATTAAATTAAAACTAGATTATAAGACTATAGACATAAGTCTTCAAAAAGAGAAAAAACATTTTAACAGCAATTTGTTACTCTGTTTTCATTTTGTAAACTGAAATTAATAGGAATTAGAAATTATAATAGAAAAATAAGCTATAAGTTAATGAGTTCATAAATAGCCAAAAGAATTGAAAACAGATACTCAAGTAAGTACATGAACACACATGTTCATAGCAGCACTATTTACAATAGCCAACATGTGGTAACCAAATGTCCATCAATAGATGAATGGATAAACAAATGATAGTACAATGTATAACACAGATGGAATATCATTCAGCCATAAAAAAGAATGAAGTACTGATACTTGCTAAAAAATGGACAAACCTCAAAAACATGCTAAATGAAAGAAGCCAGACATAAAAAAGGTGACATATTGTATGATTCCATTTACATGAAATATCAGAATAGGTACATCTATAAAAACAGAACATATACTGATGGTTGCCAGCAGCAGGGAGGAGAGGGGATTGAAGAGAAGCTTAATGGGTAAGGGGTTTTATTTTGAAATGATGGAAATATTTTGGAACTAGATAGAGATGTTAGTTACACAACAGTGTGAATGTACTAAATGCTACTAAATTGCTCACTTTAAAATTATTAATTTTGCATTATGTGACCTCAATAAATAAAGAAGAAAAAAAGAAGAGGAGGAGGTCCATAGGTGCTGATCATTGTCAGACAGTATTTCTCTGGGAAAAAAAAAAATCTCTCACAGGGGAAAAAAAAATATGAATGAATTATTGTAGTGTAATGGGAGTTTACCCACAATCTGGATGCCCCTAGATGCTTTGCATGGTGAAAGGGTATTAACTCTACCTTCAAACTACGTTTGAACCCTAGCTCTGTTTCTTAGTGACACTAGATGCACTATACCTCCCTGAATTTCAGATTTCTCATTAAAAATTATCTAGTGAGCATCACTCCACTACGTGACAGGGATTAAATATCTTATATGTAAAATTACCTAACATATCGAAGTCATTCCATAAATGCTAGCTTCTTCCCTCACCTCCCTGAAGTTCTATTGCTTATTATGGAGCATTGGAGTATATTAATTGTTACATCAGTCAGGGTCCAATCAGGAATACAGAATCTACTCAGAGTATTTGAGCAGAGGAAACTGACTGCAGGGAATTGGTTATGTAAGTGACAGAAAAGGCTGAGAAGCAACCGAAGGACAGTTAGGCCACCCAGAAATTAGAAAGAGCAAGAAACCACTCCCACTAAGGCCAGAGGGAGGAGATGTTACAGGCACCAAGATTTAGAGAATCTTACCAATAAAGGGTTTTCCAAGGCCAGGACTAGGGTGAGGGGAGTGAAGGCCAATGAGGCAAAATTTAAGGAAGCTGTGCAGGGCCCTCACAGAACCCTCAGAGCGAATGCCTCCTCAAATTGTGTCCCAGTGATACTTCACTCACCCAACTGTAGTCCCAGCCCTGGCTGAAACTGTCTCTTTCACATGCAGAACTCCTTAAATTCCATGAAAAACAGTACTATAGCCAGACTCCATTTATGTGATTTATAGATACTACCTTATTTATCTCTCTCAACAACTTTATGAGATAGGTAATATTATTATCCTTATTTACAGTTGAGAAAACTGAGGCACAGAGGCATTAACTTGCCCAAGATCATACAACTGGTATGTGGTGGCACTGGGACATGAATTTAGTTCAAGAAGCTGTGCTCCTAATCACTGCACTCTTTTGCCACTACCATATATCTCAAATTCAATGTCTAAAGCAAAATTTCATATCTTTCTGCACAAACTGTCTCACCCTTCACAGTTCTTATTTCTGTCAGTGTTTCCACTTCTTTTACAGTTATCCACTCTCTCGGCGAGACCTTGAACCCATACTGCTTAATCATTTCTCTCCAACTAATTGCTTATTCATTCAACAATATTTACTGGGTGTCCACACATCAAGGCACCAGGGCGACAACTGTAAGGAGGACAGAGCTGCTTGTGCAGTTCACAGGCTCTGGCAGAGAAACTGACAGTGTAAGGTCTCTTTGAACAGAGAGGCCTATGAGATGAGAAGTTAGTTGTGAAAATCTGGGGGAAAGGTATTCCAAGCAGAGTGAAAACCAAGCACAGAGACTCGAAATGAGGATAGGCCTGGCATGTTCAAGAAAGAAAAACAGAATGGGCGCTGTGGCTCATGCCTGTAATTACCCAGCACTTCGGGTGGCCGAGGCAGTTGGATCACCCAGGGTCAGGAGTTCAAGACCAGCCTGGCCAACATGGTGAAACCCCATCTCTACTAAAAATACAAAAAACTAGCCAGGCATTGTGGTGGGCGCCTGTAATCCCAGCTACTCGGGAGGCTGAGGCAGGAGAATTGCTTGAACTCGGGAGGCAGAGGTTGCAGTGAGCCGAGATCGTGCCACTGCACTCCAGCCTGGGCAACAAGAGTGAAACTCAGGAAGGGAAGGAAAGGGATGGGGAGGGGAGGGGAGGGGAGGGGAGGGGAGGGAGGGAAGGGGAGGGGAGGGAGGGGGGGAAGGGACAGGGAGGGAAGGGGAGAGAGAAAGAAAGAAAGAGAGAAAGAGAGAGGGAGGAAGGAAGGAAGGGAGGGAGGGAGGGAGGGAGGAAAAGAAAGAAATAGAAAGAGAAAGAAAGAGAAAGAAAGAAAAATAAAGAAAAAGAAAGAAAGAAAGAAAGAAAGAAAGAAAGAAAGAAAGAAAGAAAGAAAGAAAGAAAGAAAGAAAGAAAAAGAAAACAGAAAGAGTGTATGTGGTTAAAGCCAAAGAGGCAGAAAAGGGGCCACATTGTTCAGATCAAGATAAAGGATTTGGATTTTATTCCGGATGTGATGGGAAGCTGTTAGAAGATTCTCAGCAGGGTGCTATGTGAAGAAAGTACAGTTGTCCCTGGGTATCCATGGAGGCTTGGTTTCAAGACCCCTGGGATACCAAAATCTGTAGATGCTCAAGTCCGTTATATAAAATGTAGTAGTATTTGTATATAACCTACACACATCCCCCTGTGTACTTTAAATCATCTCTAGATTATTTATAATGCCTAATACAATGTGAATGCTAAGTAAATAGTTGTTATACTGTATTTTTGTTTGTATTATTTTTTATTATTCTATTGTTATTTTTTATAGCTCTTTTTTTCTGAGTATTTTTGATCCATAGTTGGTTGAACCCACAGATGCAGAACCCGTGGATACAGAGGGTCGACTATAGTGCATAGTGTAGTAGACACTGTTGGTGCCCCCCCAAGGTGCCTTTTAGCAGGCTAGTGCACCCAAACTCCAGCTGCTTTGAGTCCTGGCTGTGACCATTGCACAGCTGCACCCTTCTGAGAATTGCCTTTGACTGAAAGAAACCTAGTCAGGAAATGCCTATGAGGTTGTGATCTCCTCCCTCTTACCTAGGGAGACAGCCGACAGCCAATGATTGACTGATTCTGGGGCATAGTAGCCAGTCCCCTTGCCTCAAAGGGGAGCAATTCTCTGGTGTCTTTCACATTTCAGACTGGGGGTAGATTTCCAGTGAACACATGTCTTGGCCATGCTTCTTCCTTTGCTCTAGGCTCCTTCTCTCACTCCCTTACATGGTTCAACTGAGAGTATTCCCTCAACAAGTCTCTTGCACTAAAATCCTCATCTCAGGTTCTGCTTCTAGGGAATCTGACCTGAGACGCGGTAAAGGAAGGGAGGGAGACCTCTCGGTTATTCATTCTTCACAGTAACTCTTCAAAGCATCATTTTTTTTCCATTTCCAACCAGACCCATTTGTCCATTTCTGTCTCTGCCTCCTAAAATCTGCAAGAACTTTCTAATTGTATATGATTCTCCTCCATCACATCTGACATTCTATACACCAATCACAACTGAGTTTTCCTAAGACATCAATTTTATCATTACCTAAAGAGAAAACTCTTGGAACTAGTTTTTGAAGTTTTCTCCTAGTCAGTCAGTCAGTCAGCCAGCCAGCCAGCCAGCCAGCCAGCCCATCAGGGGTCTGTCAGGCAGTCAACAAATACTTGTTGAGTGTATCCTATGTGCCAGATTCTGTGCAAGGAATATGAAAAAAGACACAAGTCCTTTTTCCTAACCTTATGTCTAACAGAAGAGTTTACAATCTGATGCCATTCAAACTTTCTGTTCTTGTCTTACCCTAGTTTGAAGCACTGTTTTACCTAAGCAAATCTGTTCATTATCCCTGTTCACTTTTAAACCCATACTTCACCTATTCAGACTCAAGTCCTTCTCAGGATCCAGTTTAAGATCTTCCCTTACTGCTCCATCAACAACAGCATTTTGGTCAAAGCCATTCAACAAGTCTCTAGGACATTCCAAACTTTCCCACATCTTTCTGTCTTCTTCTGAGCCCTCCAAACTGTCCCAATCTCTGCCCATTACCTAGTTCCAAAGTTGCTTCATTTTTGGGTATCTTTACAGCAGCGCTCCACTACCTGGTACCAATTTACTGTATTAGTGCATTTTCACACCACTAATAAAGACATAGCCAAGACTGGGTAATTTATTTAAAAAGAGGTTTAATTGACTTACAGTTCAGCATGAATAGGAGGGCCTCAGGAAACTTAGAATCATGGTGGAAGGAGAAGCAAACACATCCTCTTCACAGTGTGGAAAGAAGGAGAAGTGCAGAGCAAAGAGGCAAAAAGCCCCTTATAAAGCCATAAGATCTGGTGAGAACTCACTCACTATCATGAAAACAGCATGGGGGGGACCACCCCCATGATCTAATTACCTCCCACAAGGCGTCTCCCCCAACATGAGGGGATTATATTTCAGATTACAATTCAATATGAGATTTCCGTGGGGACACAGAGCCAGACCATATCAACCAGGGAACCCTCCTATTTAGCAACAGGAAGTGATTCTTCTGTACATCACCCCTCTGAGGACATATGTTTTCATATCAAGAAATGTGGTTCGAGGGCTGACAGCCAGGGTAAGCATTATTACATCCAGAGGCAAGAAGAAAAACAGAATCTGACTCTTCCATGCCAACACAGAGAAACTGAAGACGGTCAGCAAAGACTTGACAAGACTTCAGCCCTGGCGAGGAAGAGGCTATTCTCAAAGGCTGGGGGTGAGTGGAGTGAGTAGCAACAAAATAGTGAGGGGACTGTAGGGTATGTGGGGCAGGGAGCCAAGCAATTCAAACAAGAACCCTAATGCCATCTGAATCTACTTTGAATTTCTAGGAAAACATACTAGCCATTTTTTTTTTAATTTTTTTTGAGATAGAGTCTCGCTATGTCACCCAGCCTGGAGTGCAGTGGCATGATCTCGACTCACTGCAACCTCAAGCGATTCTCCTGCCTCAGCCTCCCGAGTAACTGGGACAACAGGCGCGCACTACCGTGCCTGGCTAATTTTTTATATTTTTAGTAGAGACGGGGTTTCACCTTATTGGCCAGGCTGGTCTCAAACTCCTGACCTTGTAATCTGCCAGCGTTGGCCTCCCAAAGTGCTGGGATCACAGGCATGAGCCACCATGCCCGGCCCCCATACTAGCCATTATTAACAAATGCTTCCTACATTTCTGTCTTTCATTAACTTTCTCATCTCTAAAAATTCAAAAATTTTCAACTCCTAGGGCTGAGGCTATCTGGTACCTTTATAAGAATCAGGTTAAAAGGCTAATCAGAGACTCAAAAGAAAGCAACCATTTGTCTCTTATCTACCTTTGACCTTAATGGCCCATCCCCACTTCGAGTTGCCCCACCTTTGCTTTGAGTTGTACCGCTTTTCTGGACCAAACCAATGTTCATCTTACATATATTGATTGATATCTCATGTCTCCCTGAAATGTATAAAACCAAGCTGTGCTCGGACCACCTTGGGCACATGTCATCAGGACCTCCTGAGGCTGTCTCACAGACATGTATCCTTAACTTTGGCAAAATAAGCTTCCTAAATTGACTGAGACCTGTCTCAGATATTCCGAGTTCACAAATCTCAACGGCAGTAACATCCGAGTTCCCCTTTGGATTGTTCTTGAGTCTCAACCTTTTCTCCTTTGGAATGTTCTTGAATCTCTACCTTTTTCCCTTTGGACTGTTCTTGAATCACTACCTTGTTGATAGTTCTTTCAGCAAGGTCTCTGCCCTCCACAACCAACTGCCAAAGAAAGGGCCCTTGTCTCACCTGATTACCTTATCCCCTCTAAATATGCTAGCCACACCTGGTGGTTTTCAAAGCAATCAGACCTAGACCTGTCCCAGTCTTCCTCTCCTCAGGTACTTTTCTCTGGAAAGTTAAGATTCTGCTGGGTTAGGATGCAGGTGGTGACTGGACTCTAGTGAGGACCTAAGGTTTAGCATAACCTTGGAAAACAGTTCCCAAAAGGGTCGTATCTCAGCTGCTCAGGGACTGCCATGTCCGCCTGACTGTTCATATACTCTCCCAAAGCACTCAGAGAAACTTATGTTCCAACCATAGATTATATTTTATTTGATAGAATCCATGTCTTATTTTATTTTCATGATTTATTTTTAACCAAACCATGAAAAAGATAAAGCACTTCTTAGCTTGCTTTTCTGTTAAAAGGTCTATCTACAATATAATTATATTTCCTCAGTCTACTTCAAAAAAGCCAATGTCTGTCACAAAATTAAATAAATCTGGATGCTCCTAACATTATAATTTTCCATTTTGCTTGTACCAAGTAAAAAGAATGCTGCCTTCTTTTACTTCTAGAATAAAAAGCAGCAAACTTGCAACTTCAAATCCACAAGCTTATTAAAAAAATTTGTTCTCTGGTAGTTGTGCAATAAATTTGAAAACACAACACTCTGACTGTCAAGTAGGTATAGATAATGACATTAAATATGAATAAGCACATCATTTCATGAATGCAAGATGAGTTTATAAAATACAAATGCTCCGACAGTAAGAAAACATACTGCTATATTCAATTATATCATCTACCCAAAATACAATTGCTTCTATGTTTGGTAAATAGATTAAATCCAGGTCACATTCCTGCATTCAACTGAGTTTCTAGTCACTCCCTTTTCTCTAAATACTTGCGCTCTTTGTTTCTGCATGTTCTTAAGTGTCATCATTTATTGCTATAGGCATGATGGCTATATTTAACTAATAATGACAGTGGTTGTCATTAGATTTTAACTCAGTAACACTAGTCTGACATATCATTTGAAGTATGTCTTCAATTTACATTTGATTAAAATTACAAACATCCCATCTATTGTGCCAATCAAAATGTTGTCACCCTTTCCCTGAACTTTTCTATGAACTTTCTTTAAATAAGTTATGGCAGCTTAAAGTTAAGACTAGCCCTGGGTCACGAACATATTTTAAAATACAACTTTTGGAACGGAGCAGACTAAGGCCACTTGGGGGTCCTTTTATAAAAGGCCTTGATTTTGACCTACACCCTAGATATTGAGAGTTCAAAGCCTTTAACTCACATTCCCATATCATGCTGTATACATAACTACTTGGCAGGTATTTTAATTTGGTTGTATTTATTTCAAGATCTCAGACCTAGCAAATACCTTTGTTAGTAAAGTCAGATACGTGTGACAACTTGTATGAAAAGCTTGTGGAAACATACCTAGAGAGGATGGAGCAAAAGAAGGAAAATAAATAAGGGCAGGTAGAAAAATAACATTTCAGGTAACTATCATATGCCAGGTTTTTATATCATCTTCTTTACTTCCCATAATACATCTGTGGGATGTAAACTTATTTTTTATTTATTTATTTTTTTTGAGACAGAGTCTCGCTCTGTCGCCAAGCTGGAGTGCAGTGGCATGATCTCGGCTCACTGCAACCTCTGCCTCACGGGTTCAAGCAATTCTCCTGCCTCAGCCTTCCTAGTATCTGGGACCACAGGCTCGCGCCACCATGCCCAGCTAATTTTTGTATTTTTAGTAGAGATGGGATTTTACCATGTTGGCCAGGATAGTGTTGATCTCTTGACCTCACGATTTGCTTGCCTTGGCCTCCCAAAGTGCTGGGATTACAGGCGAGAGCCACCACACCTGGCCGAGGTGTAAACTATTATGCTCAATTTATGGATGAAGAAACTTAGGCTTAGCGAGATTAAGTGACTGGCCCAGGTACACACTCTAGTTTGCTTTCCTGGCAGTGATGAAGAAAGTAGAAACAAATTTTGTTGTTGTTGTTATTTTCCTGAGCCCAGCCAGCTATTCTAGAAAGGTAAAAGTGGACACAAGGTTCTGACTAACTTCAAGTCTTAGTTATGTTTATAAGATGGTATTCTCAGTTTTCTGTTTAGACCAGGGGCTTATAGACACTTAATTTTCAAATGATTTATCTTTATTAGAAATATCCAATAGGCATTTAAAGTATTACTTCATCTATATTACAGATAAGGACACTGAAGTGCAGACCAGTTTGCCCAAGACCAGACACAGGGACTAGAATCTTGCAACATCAGCTGACTTCGAGTCTAGTGTCCTTTAAAATAAACAATAATGCATTTCTCACAACTCTCCTAACAAGATATCTAAAGCCTTCAAAAGTGAAAAGTTCAAAAAGCAAACCACTCTGAAAGAATAACTATAGAATATATAAATGAATTCTCAGGTAAAGTAACAAGCAGCATAGGCAGACAACTAAGTGATTTGATTTAAAGGTAACTGTTTCATTTTCGATTTTGTAAATGCATTCAAGTTAACAGGACAGTATAGGTTTGCAAGCATCTGTACAGTAAACAAATGTAGTCTCTGTGTATGAATATAATTCAACATTTTATGGTTATGTCAAGAATTTAGGTGTTTTTCAATGATTTGGTATTTGACAATACAAAGAGATGCTGCCAGCCACACGCAGGCTATAGATTTTCCTACTGACTAAGAACACTTTTTTGGTCCATCTCTTATAATTGTCTTCAAATCCACACCTATTTTATATACCAAGGATATTCTATTCTTTTATTTACAGATTTAAAACTTTGGAATAGAAAATACATAAAATATTTTCCTATAGTTTTACCCTCACTTATAGAAATAGAAGAATCATATGCTGTCTGAGAAGAAAATGTTTTTTTTTCACCACATAATGCCATCTTCCTCCTTTTGAATATATATAGAAAAGTGGAAGTTAAAATGTACAAACAATCTAACCTAATAAATACACTATTCAAACCAAAAGATAAAAGGGAATTTGGGAAAGCCAGTCCCAACTACCTTAGCTGATTGAATTAAGTAGTGGTTGCCCTGTAGGTGAACACCACAAAGGCTGGTATCTGTTTTGGCAAGACTAAAGCAGCCATTGGTGTAGGCAGCACTATAGCGTTCTGTCTTGAGATCTAGCAGCAGAAATATTAAGGTATGATGTGATGTGAGTAGTGGGTCACCTATTGAAATTTGTGCTTTTAACATAACAATTTAAAAATCAACAAATTCAGTAGACATATAATGGAAGAGAATATAATGCATGAATCCAGGTTCATTAAATGAATGCATTTTTTGAAAAACAAAATATGACAGAACATTTCATTATGGACGCAGATATGAGAAAAAGTGTTATGCTGCTATTTAGAATGTGTCTTGTGTGTCGTGGAATTGAAATATTTCCAAATCATCAATAATTAAAATGATGAGAATCCATCATTTCACTGACACTTCTACATGAAAAGATGGCCTATTTTAAATGTGCTCACACATATTCTTGTCAATCACAAGCTGTCATAGCAAATTATTTCATTTTGTAGATCACATGGCAGTTACTAGAAAATCTCTAGGCTTAAATTTAGATCTTAGGTGTAGTATCAAGAACTCCTTTCATGCATTTTTTTCTGTGACTACGTCTTCACAATATTGGATCTAAAAGATTTAAAATCTTATTCATAATACCAAGTTTCACTTCTGGTTAACAAAACTCAGGACTGAAATGAATCACTGTAAATGATAATTCTGAAAGCCCAGTAATAGAATAGGATATACAGGAGAGAGTAGAAATATTCAACCAAAAAGTTTTAAAGACAATCAGAACTCCATACAACAGAACTTGGACCTAACGAATTAGGTCTAAATAGTGTTTTCTCCTCATCTTATTTAAGATATTCAGGCAATCACAGGGCACGAACCATTTATTATGCTATGTTTGCATTACTTACATACAGCTCCTAGCAGTTATAAAGGAACTGAACTCTTATAAACCCCATGGATCTGATCCAAGAATTTTCACTGTGTCACAATTAAGCAGAAGATTTAGGAAACTGTGAATAAAACCTAAACCACATGGCCATGAATCAGAAAACTTAATATGCCTTTTCAAACAATTCATTAACTACCTATTCATAATTTCAATGAATTATTAATAAATGTCAGAAACTTTAAATGCCAGAAGTATAATACCTAATAAGGCAACATTATCAACAGTATTTATATAAAATATTTCTATTTTCCTGATCTTTTCCATACACAATTAATATTTATGATTAAATATTCAACTTTAAAATGTAAGAATTATTCTAATACTGCATTTCAACAAGGAATGCTTCATGTCAGTCTTGACCTTGGCCTGACCTCCGTATGAAAGCTTTGTGTTTCAAGGTATGTGATGAATAGCTCTCCGGCTTTCTATTAGATCCAATGCCACTGGTTGTCAACAGTTATGCTCAAAAGGCGTAGTAAAATAGTTAAAATATCAGAGATGTTCTATAGGATTTTTTCTGTCTTAGTAAATCTGGAAATCGTTCTTAGGCAATTTTCTCCATCTACACTGCTTTTCCAATGAATAAGGAAAACCACTGAAGTATAGATATATAATTGCCAAAATATATACTGGCTTGTTTGGCCTTCCAATGCCAGAAATAAAATAAGATCCATTTGATTTATGTTGTAAAATAGTATTCTCAGTTTGAAGGATTCATAACTTATCTACTCAGTTTAAGTTCCTTAAAGGCCAGGACTTCTATCCCTATGCTGGGGCACACATAGTAGGTACTCAATAAAAATGTGTTGATTTAAATTTTGATTTAATTGCATTAAATTGAATTTAAATTAGAGATGAAAGAATAATGATAAAAAAGAAATCAGACTATGAACCACAGCTTTTATCTTTCTCTGACCTGGCCTAGTATCTAGCATATATAGACTCTCAATAAATGTTTGTTGAATGAATAAAAGTCTGTAAATTAAAACAATGACCAGTTATCAATTGTATATAAAATACTTATGCTCATTTAGAAAGATACATCATTAACACTTAATTCTGCCAATTGATTTCCCCTATTTACCTTTAGCATGTTCAATTATCCAACTTCTGATCATGTCTCTTTAAGTTTATCTACCACTTTCAAAGTTATTCACACGTTTTTATTTTAATGGTACACTTGTGGCTAGTTGGAAAATTATCGATTTATCTGTAAAACAGATGACAGAAAGGTAATCTTCAAGCTGATTTTGGTGGTTTGAAAAAGTGTATGTGAATATGTGAGTGATATGTAATATATCACTCACATCAAGTTAAATATTATCTTTCATATATAAATGTATATATGTTTACATTTATATTCTTAACATTCTGAAAGAAACCAAATATCATTGTTTAAGCTTATCTATAAGCTCAACTTAGATGAATGGCTTTTCCCCATTATACTTATCCTAACTCTTTTTAATGGACATGTGATATGCTAGTCTGTGTCCAAGCTCACCTACAATTTCTTTTCTCAAAAGACAAGGCACATCTGCCACCTGCTCTACTCCGTGTCCCAGCAACAACTGTCGAGCAGCATAAAGATTGATTATCAGTCAAAAACCATTGCACAACACCAGATTTTGGTGGGTTAAGCTTGCTGATCCAGCAAGAGATGGTGTGAAATTTTCAGGAATGTGTGCCAACATTTTGGTGCTAAAAGAACAGCAGTGCATGTCACAGTGAAACACAGCCAAAGATACGCAGACAAAGCAGAGAAGTTTTTTGTTCTGGACTTGGCTTTTGAAAAGGATAAAAGAGAAAACAAAAAGTAGGAGGAAATTAGTTAGTACATTTAAAAATCATCCACCAAGCTCAGTCATGTGTGTGACATTATTATTTCAGGCATACATGTCCAGGAGATTTTCTTCTTAGCTTAGCTATAAATAATTTTTATATGTCTCTTCTACAATACCATTATTCATATGAAAGGCAAGCATTTCTTATTAATAACAATAATCAAGGATCTTAATGAAGCAATCATTACAAATATATCTGAATTTTTTAAAGTCACAGAAAAGTATTTGCCCACTACGACCCATGTTTTTATATAAGCAAATGATTCAATGAATATAAAATTAAGGCAGCCAGCCATATTTTAAACTTAAAGCAAAATGTGAAAAATATATGAGTCTACACTATCACATAGGTAATTTTCAATGACCATTATAGCAACAAGTTTCTTTACAAGAATGAAATTTTCTTAAATTTTCTATTGAATTCAAGAAATTGCTTATTTCCTGAAGATCAAGTATTATATAAAAGAGAAATCCTAGCACAACTTTATACAATAACATTAACAGAAGGGAGATTTTTATCACCTCATCTGTAATGAACTCCAGAATTACTTTTCTTCTACTTATGCAATTACTGCCTAGACTTGCCTTTGATTCACTAGCTTTATAGAAGTTGCAGAAAAAAATTACTTCTAATAAAGTATAAAAAGCATAGGAAAGTACAGCAGTTAGACACACTGAATTTTTATGGCAAAGTCCTTATTCCTGTTATTTAAATCCAATTATCATACATAGCACTAGATACCAAACTCTGGGTACAACATGCTTGGAAGAATATTCTTAGATAGTAGTGCTTTTATTTCTCCCTTAAAATGTATTCTTTTCCACTGAGGAAAGAAAAATGTTATTTTTTTAAATTTTAGAAAATCTCCACATTTCTGAAATGTTGGAAGAAATGAACTTTTTGGAAAACCTTAATTGAAAATATGTGTAGGATTATATTATACATTTTAAGGTTAAAAAATAATCAAGCTGGAACATTTCTTATGAAATACGTTATTAGGAGAATCATATGTATATAAGAAATGTATGTTCATTATTGGCCACATTTTCATAATTATGTTGATACTATCTGAAAAAAGACCAAGAGTGTAAATGAATAAATGATACTTAAAACTTTGAACTATTTTCTGAGAGGATAAGTCTAATGAATTATGTCTGTTGAGTGTCACAGAAACTAAACAGTAAATTCAATAATCTCTGATTTAATTTATTATATTTTCACCATTTAACCTCCTGCAGGCTCCCTAATGTCTATTCAGATCTATATTAAATTAAGCACCAATGCTAATGAAGGGCAATAAACGTGGCTGTCAGTGGATTTTTCTTTCATTAAGCACATTATCCTCTTACTGAGCTGTAAATGCGTAAACATTAGTTTTGTTAAACCATGCAAAAAAGACAGGATGAAAATCATTTTTTAATTGCACCCCTTAAGCAATTCAGTATGTGTGGGGGTAGGGTATTTTTTAGATCTTTTTTACCTTTAATTTTTTTGAATGGATTTAAAAAGGGCTCTCCCGTTGAAACATAAACATCGGCTTCATGGGGTATATCTTCAGGTTCGAGGGCTTCCTTGCCGTCTGCCAAGAACACTCGTCTTGCGGCCATGTTCAGATTCAGCTTTTCTGTGCACTCCTCCAGCAGCTAGAAGAAAGCAAGAGGTAAGTCAAAGTGATTTACTACAAAGAAAGTAATATATTTCCCTCAAAACAAAAGGTTCTAATGATCAAAATAGAAACCCAATTGAGTCACTTGCCAATACAGTTATTTTCTAGCAGTTGAAAATATAGAAATAAAAGGTAAGTCACAGCATGAAGCATATCTAATTATTGACTAAATTTAACATTTAAATGATCTGTCATTTTAATAACTCTACAAGGTATTGTAGAGTTTCATCTGTTTAAATACACTGTTTATATATTGAATTTTTTTAAAAAAGGAGAGGAGTGAAATTCCTATGAAATCTACGTATATATAAGCAATCGGTAGATTCAGATTCTCAAAAAGAAAATATTAACAATAATTTTCTCATTTTTTATATTATAAAGAGAGTAAGGGAAAAAAAATAAAGCACAGAAAACTTTGGAACACTAGTTACCAAGGTGATGGTTGGTACAGTAACTCTGGCAAAGACTGTTCTAGATCCATTTTTGTAAGCTGTTACTTTAATCACTCTTGGTTGAAGTTTGTGTCTTTGAGACAATTTCTGCCAATTCCGGGCTGACTGAAATTTTAAAGAAGAGAACTCTGCAACCCTGAAGAAAAAGAAAAACAGAAAAATTGATGCATGCTAATTAGTGAAAGCTTTTAAATAAATATTATCCTGGATTTTTTTAAACAGATATAAGCACTAAAGATTGTTCCTATGTATATAAGTATACCTAACAAAACTTTTTATAGGATAAGATTGTTGTTACAGAGTAACACTCTCACTATTTAAATATTCAAAAAAATTTAAAACACAGTGTTTGCCAAAACTGCTCATATAAAACATATATATCAGAATAAATGATTCTTATCACTTTACTTATAAAACACAACAGTCCTTTTAAAATATATATATATTATATGCAACTAAAAATTATATATATGAGATATGTTCTGATAGCAAAAAATAGTAATATGGTCTTAATATCATGAAACAGCAAATGGCTAAGATTCTATCCAAGTTTTCAGGTTTATCAAAGTTCTTTAACTTTTTTAAAAAATGTTTAAAATTCAAAAATATTTGATTTTAAAATTTTGATTCCAAGGTTAATTGTATTGCTCTCATTTCAAACTGTTCGGAAGTGGTAACGGTGAAGATTTCTAAGTTTTGTCTTCAGGCAAAACTAATTTTGATATTTATGATTTTTCTCAGCAAAAGTATGTGGTAAACTGACTAACGTCAAATTTTCTTCATAATTCTCTAACTAACCAAGTTAATTTGTAATGCCACAGAAGAAGAGTAAATATTTTAAAATAAAAATGTCACACAAATTAAAAACACAACATATCCACATATTCAAACATTTGAAAATAGTGGGGTATTAGTTTCTTGGTTTGATTTTTGTTTTTACTAATATTTTCTTCTGTCTATGAACTCTCATGTTAACAGTTTATGATAACAATTTGATGTGAAAACATATTTACAAAATTGTTTTATAATAATTTCATTCAATTCAATTCTGTTTCAAACTATTGGTTAAATATCAAAAGAAAGCATTTTTATTTTTAAATAAGTTCGTGTGAGCAAAGATATTTCATGATCCTAGCCTGATTCTGCTTCAAATATTCTTTTCAGAGTTTCTGATTGCCCGGGTTGAAGTGTATCTCATATTTCCCACAGTGTAATTAACAACATTCTACTCTGGTGCTTTCAAAGAAAAAAACAAAAACAAAAACAAAACCCGAGAGATGTGTTACATTTTAATGTCTGAGATAGTCAATTGAAACATTATAAACTCTGCTCAAAGGAAAGAACTTCAACAATAGGTTAAAAAGAACAGAGAACAGCTTTGATTACCTCAGTTGACCCACTGGAGCACTGACAGGTCTGTTTCTCTTGGATGCTGATATAGAACAAGAATTGTTTTTACTGTTTGATTTGTAGCTATCTAGGTCTGATATTTCATCATGGCTGTGATCTGATGCTGTTTGATGTGTGGAGCAATCTTGAAGTCCTGACCCTTCTGATACTGCTGCTGAATGCACGAGTCTGTTGGGGCCAAACTGAGACTGCAAATAATCATCAGTAGTTTTAATAACTGCTTTTGCCTGGGATGACATAAACTCTCTGGAAGAAACAATGCATGGAAGAATACAATTAATTGATTTGTAATCATTTATTAACAAATACCATATAATAACGAGTTGTGTGCTATGTGCTACACAAAATACTACACACTTAGCCATTATTTTGTTTAATGCCTACAATATTCCTGGGAAGTGGTTATTATTTTTATTCCCATTTTACAGATTTAAGAAATTGAGAATCAGTGAGGTTAATTAACTTGCCCACTGTCACATAATCAATAACTGACAGGATGGGAATTTGAACCCAAGCCTGTCCTGAAATAAAATCCACATTCATAACCATTAAGCTTCATTGCTTTACTTAATTCAACCAAAAGGAAGCTTGCATAATGTTTAAAACAATGTAAGTATAACTTTTAAATTCTTAGATCCACTTTATTTTCTAATACTTACTTAGCACTCTGCTGTTAAAAATATGTGGGTCCTACCCTCAAGAAACTTGCAAACAATCCCCCAATAGAGAATATATGTTAAATAAACTGAAACTGAGTGTGTATTAGCCTTAAAGATGAAAATAATTCATTGAAGGCCATTTTAGAATGGGTGGGAATAAAGTCGGTAAAGGCTTCACAGCAGACCTGAGATTAGCCTAACTCATCTCTGTTCAGGACTATCCTGGTTTTGGCACTGAGGGTCACACATTCCAGGAACTCCCTCAGTCTCAGATAAACTGGGTCAGTTGGTCACCCTACTGGTATTTAGGCTGGAAGAGTAGTATGTGGATGAACTATGATGTGTGAACAGGGAACCACATGACCTGGAAGAATATATTAATCTATATAGACACCAAGTTGGGAAGATGAATAGGTATAGAATATACCGGTATGATAAAATAAAATAAGTTTTAATATATTTGCAAATATTGAGCTGTGTGGTGATCACACATAGAGGATAGTCAGGTTCCATGTATTACCATAATCGGAAGTATCTTTGCACAAACCAAATCTGCTTCTTTCCAATTTGCTCATTCCTCAATAGTTATTGCATAATATAACCCCCCCAAACACACCCCCAATTATAAATTAACATATGTTCAGTGTTGAAAGCTCAGCAGGGATTGCCCCTCCTCCAAATCTTTCACATCCACAAATGTCATTATAATCACAATTATTTCTTCCAGCCTGCCCTCTTTATGGTCACAAACGAGTAAAATGGTCAATTATTTCCTCTGAAAAAATGAATGGTAGTCACACATCAGAGGGAAAATAGATGTTTGTGTGTGTGTGTGTGTGTGTGTGTATGTGTGTGAGCTCACACAGTGGACCCAGGGGAACTACACCTCTGGAATCCAAGCAGTTGTATTCTGCTGTTGTTGTTATCATCACATGTTTCTATCCAAGTCTGCCCTAGACTGAGTACAGTACTGGGGAGAGGAGCAGCCTTCCCTACACATTGGATATAACCAGGCTCAAAACTGTGGCAAACAACGCCTTGAAAGGGTCTTTGGACTAGCTCTGGCAAAAGTGGGACCTCCCTGCAGACCACCTAAGCCACTCAGATTTTGATAACGGTGGTGAGTGACGGCATGTGGCAGCAGTCATTTCAAACTGGCAGTGTTTCTGCAGCAATAGCAATGGAGCTTCACACGGTTACCAAGCTCTTCAACCTGGGGGAAGACCAGTAAACAGCCAGGGGAAAGAATCACAGATTTCATAAACAGTTCCAAGTTTCCAATAAATAGTTACTTGAAGAGCAGATTCCCATATTTTTTTAAAAAAATGGAATTCCCTACTTAAAAGTAGAATAAGGTGTCTTTTTTAATGAATGTATTTTTTTCATTATGAAATATTCTTATAAATATACTAATGATTTTTAACATAACAATCCATTATTCTACCACCACAAGGCAAAAGGTTTTTACTTTTTCATATTCTGAAGTTTTAATCATGTTATATCCTCAATTCTATTGCCTTCTGACTAAATACTGTTTTATAACCATTATTCATGTTGCTCTATGCTCTGTATGGATTTTACTGGAATATAATATTTTATCAACTATATTGATATAGCCCTCTTCTACCTAGTTATGCATGGGCTGTCTATCATTTTTGTTTGTCACACACATCTTCCCCATCTTCTGGTAACAGCACTTGCATTCTTTTGGGAATGCAAACTCTTCCCAACTCCACATGATCCTGATAGGGTTAGGACAAGAGATTATAGATTTACCCAGTGAATGGTAAAAATAATTAAATTTAAATATATGGTTCAACTATATATTTGTTTATTTATTACTTGGTTTTCTCTAGTAATTTATATCTGAAAGTGGGAGAAGGGGTAGTTTTTTATGTTAAAGAGTTAATATTATTGGTCCACTATGAATAGTCTTCAGCTTTGATATGTTTTACAACATTGAGGACAGGTTTTCAGTAATTCTTGATTTTTTTTTTTTTTTTTTTTTTTTTTTTGAGATGGAGTATTGCTCTGTTGCCCAGGCTGGAGTGCAGTGGCGCAATCTCAGCTCACTGCAACATCTGCCTCCCAGGTTCAAGCGATTCTTCTGCCTCAGCTTCCTGAGTAGCTGAGACTACAGGCGCATGCAACCACGCCCAGCTGAATTTTTTGTATTTTTAGTAGAGACGGTGTTTCACCATGTTAGCCAGGATGGTCTCAATCTCCTGACTTCATGATCCTCCCACCTTGGCCTCTCAAAGTGCTGGGATTACACCGCGCCCAGCCTCAGTAGTTCTTACACACTCTCAAACTCATCTTTCTTATAACAATTGATAGGTGTTTCATAGCTTGTTAGGTGTTGGAAAGGATGATTACATACCCTTGCAAAGCCAACTTGTCCCACATGGGAATTAAACCCACATAGTCAGTTTGCTAAACTGGTGCTGGAATGAAGGGTGTTAGGTTCCTTCAGCTTTCCAGAAACAGAGAGGCACACTTAGGCTTCAAGTGATAAGGCTTATTATCAAGATACATAGAAAGTTATGAAAGTAAATAAAACCACTCCTGCAGGGCACAAAAATTGGAAGGCCATTCATGGCTGTCAAGGATACACTAGTGACTTAATTCTAGTAGACTCCATGCTTTTTGACTCAGCACCTCCTATCTCCTTCTGTGTCTACCTGCCTCTTCTTCATACATCATTATTGCCTGATTTACCTCTATCCTCCCCCTTTCCTCATGGCTTCTGCTAACTTCCTCTATGTGTCTCCTCATTTCTATGCTAAATTACTTTCTTCAGTCTCTGTCTATATGACTTACGTTCAAATTCCTCAAAGAGTTTAATTTCATCACTACACAGGATAGGACACCCCTGTTGGGTAGAACTCTTATGTGAGGCAACCTCATGCTACTGGCAAGCCTGCATATGGGAAAGTACCTAGCAACGGCCCAGCTGGAGATAGGACAGCAGGATGCACAATGGAGGTACACAGGAGGTAGGGTAATATGGGCTGTCAGTGCCTTCCAAACAGGGAAAATATAATTGGGTGGGGACTTGCATGGCCTGTCTGGCACACTAAGATGAGCAGAGACACTATATATTGATTGATTTTTAAAGTATTCACTAAAATACATCATACAATTTAAATTTCTGTCAGAAGTGTTTAAATGTAACAACTGCTGAAACACTGCTCTGATTCTTTTGATTATTTTAATATTAGTTTTTCACTTCTAATCACAGAGGAATATAAGAATACAGTGCCATGATTGCAGGCCCAGTCTCTGGACCATCTGGCCCAACAGTCTATGTCAATGTTGGCCCAAAGAGATGTGGATCAAAAGGAAGGATTGTGCTCCTCGACAATCCTAAAGATGCCAATCTTGAGGGTGAAGAATTTAACACAAACAACTGCCAGCATGATAACCTGATCATCATAATACAGGAATTTATTACTCCCTCAAAATCCTCCCCATTTATTTCTGAGAGTCCTCAAAGTGGTACATTATAAATTTCTGAAAGTATCTCCTATGTCCCTATAAAAATATGTTGGTAAGAGTCACAGCTGTTTCCACTCTCTTCTCTCACTGCCTCTCTGCTGCCACGACCAGTCACAAGAACAATGAGGTCCATGCCAAGGTACTACCTCAGAGTGTTCCCAAAGATTCTAGTGCTTGGGGCCAGAAGAATCTAGTATAGGGATGATGAAAAGAGACACCTCTCCAACCCTGTCCTATTAAGTCACCGAAACTCTGAAGCAGCTCAACTTGTGGGTAGAGCCCTAAGGAGTCTTCTCTCAACAGTTCCATCAGCTTTTGGTCCTTACTTGCCCAATTATAGGGACTCTCATCCAGGCTAGGCAAGGTATAAATCATATATCATGCCCTCCATATTGACAATGATAGTAACAATACTAATAGCTAATGCCTACATAGCATTTATGTCAGACACTGTTCTAAGCATTTTATATATATTTATAATTTAATCCTCACAACAGCCCTGTATTATTATTCCCCTTTTCCAGATGAGTAAACCAAGGGCTTACGGTATTTGAACTTATGTCTACAATCTTGCTGTGATGATTAATTTTATGTATCAACTTGACTAGGCAACAGGATGCCCAGATATCTGAGGAAACATTATTTCTGGGTGTGTCTGTGAGGATGTTTCCAGAAGAGATTAGCATTTGAACTGGTGGACCAAGTAAAGCAGATGGCCCTCCCCAGGGCAGGTGGGCATCATTCAATCTGTTGAGGGCCTGATTAGACCGAAAAGGCAAAGAAGGTTGGAATCTGGCTTCCTCTGCCTTACTGCTTCAGCTAGGACATTAATCTTCCCTGTTCTGGTCACTCTTGTTTCTCAGGCCTTCAGACTCAGATTGGAAACTACAGCAATGGCCCTCTGTCTCTCAGGCCTTTGAACCACACCACTGGTTTTCCTGGGTCTCCAGCTTGTAGATGACTAATCATGAGACTTCACAGCCTCCATAATCGGGTGAGCCAACACCTTATCCTATGTACATATATAATATATAAACAAAATATGCAGTATATAGGCTGGACATGGGTGGCTTATGCCTGTAATCCCAGCACTTTGGGAGGCTGAGGTGGGAGGATTGCTGAAACAGGGAGTTCAAGATCAGCCTGGGCAACAGAGCAAGACCTCGTCTCTAAAAAAAATTACAAAAAATTTTAAAGTCAAATAAAATATTTATTTTTAAAGTATAAATTTAAAAATAAAATAAAATATTAAAACCTACTGGTTCTGTTTCTCTGGAGAACCCTAATATATTTGCTATTTGTTTTCTGTTTTACCTATCTGTTCTATGCTCTTTTTCACTTGTTGTCTTTGTTTAGATTAAAAAATAATTTTCCATTATTTAATTTCCCTTTCTATTAGGTTATAAGTTACACATTTGCTTAACTTTATTTTTACTGGTTATGCTAGCCATTACAATATGAATCCTTGTCCTATTAAAGTTTAACATGATTACTTACTCATTACTTTCCAGACAATGCACAAACCTTAAAACACATTATATCTGTTTATTGTTGCTTCCTAGGGCTGATGAACAATACCTTTGTTCCCATTTTCATGAATAGGTGCATCTGTCTTTCAGGGGTCCTAGCCTTATGCAGGGAGCTCAGCTCCAGAATATTCCTTGCTCGAGCTTGAGGTTTTGCATCCTGTCCTTCCTGTGCTTCTTGAGAACTATTAATTATATACATTTTACATTATAATTTATTTTAAGATCTACATTTTTAAGATCTACATTAAGATCTACACAGATATCTTTTCTAAAATTCAGTAAGTTGTATGATAGTTTTGCTGAATTTTGTCTTTCCCAACTGATACTAAATTTAATTTAGTGCTGTGGTTATTTTTACTCATTGGCCCATATGTAGTCTCCGTGAACAGGTATAGTTCCTTTGCATGTGAATTCCTAAACCAGTTGTTCTAGAAAATGGTCTTTTGTCCAAAGACAAAAACAAAAACAAAAAACAAAACACAACAAAACCCTCACCTTCTCCTCACCTACTGTTGAGATTTTCTATAACATTCTGGAACCTGGGCTAATTTTATAACATAGATTTTCTTTTTAATATTTCTGACAGATTGATCATCTTGTCCTGGAAGTGTATATGTCTCTACTGCAAATTTTTCATTACATCTGTAAATAACTCACATATAAACAGACAAAGTAGTTCCTTTTTCAGTATGATTTCTATGCCAACCCCACATGAAGGAATGTGCTTCCTCCCTGTGCATCCACACCTGCCCTGGATGATTTGATAGCCAGAATTACTATATCTCATTGGTTATTTCCTATCATATAAAATGCTAGCCTTTAATTTCTGTCAAACATTTCAATTTATCATTGCATTATTTAATCTTTTGCCATGATATAGAAGCATTCTTTTTAAGCCTGAAGTTTAAATTCCACTAAAATGGATTAATACAAGAACATTAATCATATTACCTCATAAGTACACTTCCTTTAAAAATCTATTTATATATCTAACCTACCTACCTACCATTTACTTCTCCATCCATTATTAGTTGTACATCTATTGAAGCACAACAAACTACCACAAAATTAGTGGCTTAAAATAACATCTATTTATGAGCACACTATTTCTGTAGGTCCAGAGTCTGGGCAAAGCTTAGCTGGATCCTCTGTTCAGAATCTCACAGAGCTGAAATCAAGGTGTCAGCTGGGGCTGCAGTCTCATCTGATGCTCAGGGTCCTCTTCCAAGCTCATTCAGGTTGGTGCCAGAATTCAGTTCTTGACTGCTATAGAACTTATACTGACTATCATCTTTTTTGAGGCCAGGAATAGCTTAGCTTTCTAAGTTATCAATCTATGATCGCTATCATTTAAGAGTTTATCTGATTAGGTCAGGCACACCCAGAATAATCTCCCTTTTAATTAACTTAAAGATAACTGATTATGTCACTTAACGACATCTGCAGAAATCTTTTCTCTTTTGCCATATAATGAAACTTAATCATGATGGTGATATCTCATTATATTTACAGGTCCTAAAGATCTTAAACATGGTGGAATTTACAACCCTCTTGATATTTCAGGGTAGCATTTAATTATGCTTACTCTCTGAGATTTTCATTAAATCTAGTTTACAATTTTTGCTTCACAAAGCAACAACTAAGTAATCTTTAAGGTCTAAAAATATAAGAAAATATTCTTAGGAAGGAGTACAGAAAAAAACAGGTAAGTAGACCATAAGAATTAAGGAGATGACTACAGATTTGACAAGAACAATTTTTCTCATTTCCTCTCCTTAATGGCATTAGTAAACCTTAGTGACTTTTTATAGCAATTTGAAGAAAACTCCTAGTAAAATCATACTTCTTGGTCTCACATTCAACAATTTCTACCAAGTGGTGCTGCTCATTACTCCCCTGTAATATCCCTCAGCTATAACTACACCACATTGCCTTCCATAGTTCCTATTTGCATACCCTTTTTTTTTTTTTTTTTTTTTTTTTTTTTGAGACAGAGTCTCGCTCTGTCACCCAGGCTGGAGTACAGTGGTACAGTCTCGGCTCACTGGTACAGTCTCGGCTCACTGCAAGCTCCACCTCCCAGGTTCACGCCATCCTCCTGCCTCAGCCTCCCGAGTAGCTGAGACTACAGGTGCACGCTGCCATGCCCGGCTAATTTTTTGTATTTTTAGTAGAGAGGGGGTTTCACCGTGTTAGCCAGGATGGTCTCGATCTCCTGACCTTGTGATCCGCCCACCTGGGCCTCCCAAATTGCTGGGATTACAGGCGTGAGCCACCATGCCCGGCCATCTGCATACCTTTTTTTTTTTTTTTTTTTTTATTAAACTCTAAGTTTTAGGGTACATGTGCATATTGTGCAGGTTAGTTACATATGTATACATGTGCCATGCTGGTGCGCTGCACCCACTAATGTGTCATCTAGCATTAGGTATATCTCCCAATGCTATCCCTCTCCCCTCCCCCGACCCCACCACAGTCCCCAGAGTGTGATATTCCCCTTCCTGTGTCCATGTGATCTCATTGTTCAATTCCCACCTATGAGTGAGAATATGCGGTGTTTGGTTTTTTGTTCTTGCAATAGTTTACTGAGAATGATGGTTTCCAATTTCATCCATGTCCCTACAAAGGATATGAACTCATCATTTTTTATGGCTGCATAGTATTCCACGGTGTATATGTGCCACATTTTCTTAATCCATCTATCATTGTTGGACATTTCGGTTGGTTCCAAGTCTTTGCTATTGTGAATAGTGCCGCAATAAACATACGTGTGCATGTGTCTTTATAGCAGCATGATTTATAGTCCTTTGGGTATATACCCAGTAATGGGATGGCTGGGTCAAATGGTATTTCTAGTTCTAGATCCCTGAGGAATCGCCACACTGACTTCCACAATGGTTGAACTAGTTTACAGTCCCACCAACAGTGTAAAAGTGTTCCTATTTCTCCACATCCTCTCCAGCACCTGTTGTTTCCTGACTTTGTAATGATTGCCATTCTAACTGGTGTGAAATGATATCTCATAGTGGTTTTGATTTGCATTTCTCTGATGGCCAGTGATGATGAGCATTTCTTCATGTGTTTTTTGGCTGCATAAATGTCTTCTTTTGAGAAGTGTCTGTTCATGTCCTTCGCCCACTTTTTGATGGGGTTGTTTGTTTTTTTCTTGTAAATTTGTTTGAGTTCATTGTAGATTCTGGATATTAGCCCTTTGTCAGATGAGTAGGTTGCGAAAATTTTCTCCCATGTTGTAGGTTGCCTGTTCACTCTGATGGTAGTTTCTTTTGCTGTGCAGAAGCTCTTTAGTTTAATTAGATCCCATTTGTCAATTTTGGCTTTTGTTGCCATTGCTTTTGGTGTTTTGGACATGAAGTCCTTGCCCACGCCTATGTCCTGAATGGTAATGCCTAGGTTTTCTTCTAGGGTTTTTATGGTTTTAGGTCTAACGTTTAAATCTTTAATCCATCTTGAATTGATTTTTGTATAAGGTGTAAGGAAGGGATCCAGTTTCAGCTTTCTACATATGGCTAGCCAGTTTTCCCAGCACCATTTATTAAATAGGGAATCCTTTCCCCATTGCTTGTTTTTCTCAGGTTTGTCAAAGATCAGATAGTTGTAGATATGCGGCATTATTTCTGAGGGCTCTGTTCTGTTCCATTGATCTATATTTCTGTTTTGGTACCAGTATCATGCTGTTTTGGTTACTGTAGCCTTGTAGTATAGTTTGAAGTCAGGTAGTGTGATGCCTCCAGCTTTGTTCTTTTGGCTTAGGATTGACTTGGCAATGCGGGCTCTTTTTTGGTTCCATATGAACTTTAAAGTAGTTTTTTCCAATTCTGTGAAGAAAGTCATTGGTAGCTTGATGGGGATGGCATTGAATCTGTAAATTACCTTGGGCAGTATGGCCATTTTCACGATATTGATTCTTCCTACCCATGAGCATGGAATGTTCTTCCATTTGTTTGTGTCCTCTTTTATTTCCTTGAGCAGTGGTTTGTAGTTCTCCTTGAAGAGGTCCTTCACATCCCTTGTAAGTTGGATTCCTAGGTATTTTATTCTCTTTGAAGCAATTGTGAATGGGAGTTCACCCATGATTTGGCTCTCTGTTTGTCTGTTGTTGGTGTATAAGAATGCTTGTGATTCTTGTACATTGATTTTGTATCCTGAGACTTTGCTGAAGTTGCTTATCAGCTTAAGGAGATTTTGGGCTGAAACGATGGGGTTTTCTAGATAAACAATCATGTCGTCTGCAAACAGGGACAATTTGACTTCCTCTTTTCCTAATTGAATACCCTTTATTTCCTTCTCCTGCCTGATTGCCCTGGCCAGAACTTCCAACACTATGTTGAATAGGAGCGGTGAGAGAGGGCATCTCTGTCTTGTGCCAGTTTTCAAAGGGAATGCTTCCAGTTTTTGCCCATTCAGTATGATATTGGCTGTGGGTTTGTCATAGATAGCTCTTATTATTTTGAGATACGTCCCATCAATACCTAATTTATTGAGAGTTTTTAGCATGAAGGGTTGTTGAATTTTGTCAAAGGCTTTTTTTGCATCTATTGAGATAATCATGTGGTTTTTGTCTTTGGCTCTGTTTATATGCTGGATTACATTTATTGATTTGCGTATATTGAACCAGCCTTGCATCCCAGGGATGAAGCCCACTTGATCATGGTGGATAAGCTTTTTGATGTGCTGCTGGATTCGGTTTGCCAGTATTTTATTGAGGATTTTTGCATCAATGTTCATCAAGGATATTGGTCTAAAATTCTCTTTTTTGGTTGTGTCTCTGCCCAGCTTTGGTATCAGAATGATGCTGGCCTCATAAAATGAGTTAGGGAGGATTCCCTCTTTTTCTATTGATTGGAATAGTTTCAGAAGGAATGGTACCAGTTCCTCCTTGTACCTCTGGTAGAATTCGGCTGTGAATCCATCTGGTCCTGGACTCTTTTTGGTTGGTAAACTATTGATTATTGCCACAATTTCAGAGCCTGTTATTGGTCTATTCAGAGATTCAACTTCTTCCTGGTTTAGTCTTGGGAGAGTGTATGTGTCGAGGAATGTATCCATTTCTTCTAGATTTTCTAGTTTATTTGCGTAGAGGTGTTTGTAGTATTCTCTGATGGTAGTTTGTATTTCTGTGGGATCGGTGGTGATATCCCCTTTATCATTTTTTATTGTGTCTATTTGATTCTTCTCTCTTTTTTTCTTTATTAGTCTTGCTAGCGGTCTATCAATTTTGTTGATCCTTTCAAAAAACCAGCTCCTGGATTCATTGATTTTTTGAAGGGTTTTTTGTGTCTCTATTTCCTTCAGTTCTGCTCTGATTTTAGTTATTTCTTGCCTTCTGCTAGCTTTTCAATGTGTTTGCTCTTGCTTTTCTAGTTCTTTTAATTGTGATGTTAGGGTGTCAATTTTGGATCTTTCCTGCTTTCTCTTGTAGGCATTTAGTGCTATAAATTTCCCTCTACACACTGTTTTGAACGCGTCCCAGAGATTCTGGTATGTGGTGTCTTTGTTCTCGTTGGTTTCAAAGAACATCTTTATTTCTGCCTTCATTTCGTTATGTACCCAGTAGTCATTCAGGAGCAAGTTGTTCAGTTTCCATGTAGTTGAGCGGCTTTGAGTGAGATTCTTAATCCTGAGTTCTAGTTTGATTGCACTGTGGTCTGAGAGATAGTTTGTTATAATTTCTGTTCTTTTACATTTGCTGAGGAGAGCTTTACTTCCAACTATGTGGTCAATTTTGGAATAGGTGTGGTGTGGTGCTGAAAAAAATGTATATTCTGTTGATTTGGGGTGGAGAGTTCTGTAGATGTCTATTAGGTCTGCTTGGTGCAGAGCTGAGTTCAATTCCTGGGTATCCTTGTTGACTTTCTGTCTCGTTGATCTGTCTAATGTTGACAGTGGGGTGTTAAAGTCTCCCATTATTAATGTGTGGGAGTCTAAGTCTCTTTGTAGGTCACTGAGGACTTGCTTTATGAATCTGGGTGCTCCTGTATTGGGTGCATAAATATTTAGGATAGTTAGCTCCTCTTGTTGAGTTGATCCCTTTACCATTATGTAATGGCCTTGTCTCTTTTGATCTTTGTTGGTTTAAAGTCTGTTTTATCAGAGACTAGGATTGCAACCCCTGCCTTTTTTTGTTTTCCATTGGCTTGGTAGATCTTCCTCCATCCTTTTATTTTGAGCCTATGTGTGCCTCTGCACGTGAGATGGGTTTCCTGAATACAGCACACTGATGGGTCTTGACTCTTTATCCAACTTGCCAGTCTGTGTCTTTTAATTGCAGAATTTAGTCCATTTATATTTAAAGTTAATATTGTTATGTGTGAATTTGATCCTGTCATTATGATGTTAGCTGGTGATTTTGCTCATTAGTTGATGCAGTTTCTTCCTAGTCTTGATGGTCTTTACATTTTGGCATGATTTTGCAGCGGCTGGTACTGGTTGTTCCTTTCCATGTTTAGCACTTCCTTCAGGAGCTCTTTTAGGGCAGGCCTGGTGGTGACAAAATCTCTCAGCATTTGCTTGTCTATAAAGTATTTTATTTCTCCTTCACTTATGAAGCTTAGTTTGGCTGGATATGAAATTCTGGGTTGAAAATTCTTTTCTTTAAGAATGTTGAATATTGGCCCCCACTCTCTTCTGGCTTGTAGGGTTTCTGCCGAGAGATCCGCTGTTAGTCTGATGGGCTTTCCTTTGAGGGTAACCCGACCTTTCTCTCTGGCTGCCCTTAACATTTTTTCCTTCATTTCAACTTTGGTGAATCTGACAATTATGTGTCTTGGACTTGCTCTTCTCGAGGAGTATCTTTGTGGCGTTCTCTGTATTTCCTGAATCTGAACGTTGGCCTGCCTTGCTAGATTGGGGAAGTTCTCCTGGATAATATCCTGCAGAGTGTTTTCCAACTTGGTTCCATTCTCCACATCACTTTCAGGTACACCAATCAGACGTAGATTTGGTCTTTTCACATAGTCCCATATTTCTTGGAGGCTTTGCTCATTTCTTTTTATTCTTTTTTCTCTAAACTTCCCTTCTCGCTTCATTTCATTCATTTCATCTTCCATTGCTGATACCCTTTCTTCCAGTTGATCGCATCGGCTCCTGAGGCTTCTGCATTCTTCACGTAGTTCTCGAGCCTTGGTTTTCAGCTCCATCAGCTCCTTTAAGCACTTCTCTGTATTGGTTATTCTAGTTATACATTCTTCTAAATTTTTTTCAAAGTTTTCAACTTCTTTGCCTTTGGTTTGAATGTCCTCCCGTAGCTCAGAGTAATTTGATCGTCTGAAGTCTTCTTCTCTCAGCTCGTCAAAATCATTCTCCATCCAGCTTTGTTCTGTTGCTGGTGAGGAACTGCGTTCCTTTGGAGGAGGAGAGGCGCTCTGCATTTTAGAGTTTCCAGTTTTTCTGTTCTGTTTTTTCCCCATCTTTGTGGTTTTATCTACTTTTGGTCTTTGATGATGGTGATGTACAGATGGGTTTTCGGTGTAGATGTCCTTTCTGGTTGTTAGTTTTCCTTCTAACAGACAGGACCCTCAGCTGCAGGTCTGTTGGAATACCCTGCCGTGTGAGGTGTCAGTGTGCCCCTGCTGGGGGGTGCCTCCCAGTTAGGCTGCTCGGGGGTCAGGGGTCAGGGACCCACTTGAGGAGGCAGTCTGCCCGTTCTCAGATCTCCAGCTGCGTGCTGGGAGAACCACTGCTCTCTTCAAAGCTGTCAGACAGGGACACTTAAGTCTGCAGAGGTTACTGCTGTCTTTTTGTTTGTCTGTGCCCTGCCCCCAGAGGTGGAGCCTACAGAGGCAGGCAGGCCTCCTTGAGCTGTGGTGGGCTCCACCCAGTTCGAGCTTCCCGGCTGCTTTGTTTACCTAAGCAAGCCTGGGCAATGGCGGGCGCCCCTCCCCCAGCCTCGTTGCCGCCTTGCAGTTTGATCTCAGACTGCTGTGCTAGCAATCAGCGAGATTCCGTGGGCGTAGGACCCTCTGAGCCAGGTGTGGGATATAGTCTCGTGGTGCGCCGTTTCTTAAGCCGGTCTGAAAAGCGCAATATTCGGGTGGGAGTGACCCGATTTTCCAGGTGCGTCCGTCACCCCTTTCTTTGACTTGGAAAGGGAACTCCCTGACCCCTTGCGCTTCCCAGGTGAGGCAATGCCTCGCCCAGCTTCGGCTCGCGCACGGTGCACACACACACTGGCCTGCGCCCACTGTCTTGCACTCCCTAGTGAGATGAACCCGGTACCTCAGATGGAAATGCAGAAATCACCCGTCTTCTGCGTCGCTCACGCTGGGAGCTGTAGACCGGAGCTGTTCCTATTCGGCCATCTTGGCTCCTCCCCGCCCTGCATACCTTTTTACCAATTGTGTTCACTCAGCTAATCTATACCTATTACTGTACTCCCTTCAAAAAATAAATATTTAATAAATGTTGATCTCAACTCAGAACTTACATTTTCTAGAAACTCTTTCATAATAATATTAATTGTCAGGTGAAAGAGAGAACTATTAAATAGTTACACATATAAATTTACAATTACTGATCACGATTAGCTCTGAAGAAAAAGCCCTGGTTACTGAAGGGAAAAATTCCAGGGGTTAGGGTCATGGAAAAGGCCTCACCAAAACTGTTTAGGATGACAAGACACCTAAGAGAAGTTAATTCTGTCAGATCATAGTTATTCCTTATTCTAAATCATTTTCCCAGGCCCTTTGTATAAATTGATGTCCTGTTTTGCATATTGCCATGTTTGCTTTGTTATCGGTTATATGATTTAAGATGATTTCAGATCCCACTCTGCAAGAGTAAGATCCTTGTTTTACATCTGCTACATTTCCACAGGAACTCAATCAGTGGTCGATATGCAGGAATTATTCTTTGATAATTATGACAGCGTGCAAAAATGTATCCAAATACCACTGAAAAGAAACAAACACAATTTAAGAAATAAAATAAAAGAAAGCTGAAGCCAAGAGTTATGTCAGGTAATGTTGATTATCTATGTAAGTCATTTCCCCCATTTCTTCTTAGATAAAGTCTCGGTTATTTTTAAGAATTCATCTTCCTTATATGTCCATGGAAAGTATCCTACGATCAGCTCCAGTGAGTAAATCTTCAATGGTCTAAAGCCAATGATGGTAATTTCATTTCCCTTGACCCTGGCAGGTTAAGTAATCTGCTTGTGATCTAATTTTGGCCAATGAGACATAAAAAATCTTTTACAGAAAGGTTATTTGCCCTAATGAAAAAGAGATACAAGTGATCAAACATCCATCTTCTTTACTCGGACATTGTTGAGTGAACATGTGATGAGCCATCTTGCAAGCAGGAGGGGTCAAGCCAAAGGATCTAGCCAATATTCTGAGGATGGCAGAGGCAAAGACACAATGAGCCAGACTTTTTGATAACACTGCTGAACTGCTGAATTTAACCCTAAAATTGCTCTCTCTCTGAATTCTTCTTATGTGAAATAATGAATGTTCCTCATTTTTAAAGTAACTTTCAGTTGAATTTTGTTACTTTCCACTGATAGTGGCCTAACATATAATCAGCTTTCCACTACTGCATTAAATGTAATGGACATGTAGTATAATGTAACTGACAATCCGAATTACTTTTGCTTTATTTTTAGTTTTATTAAACACCTTTACTAATGTTGAATTAATTTCAAAATAAGGTAAAATATAAATTATCTGCTATTTTCTAAAAATTCTACTTTTATTTAATCAGGAACGTTTCACTGGAAATTTCAGTATAAGCATAAAATGACATGGAGTTTTTATTTTCCCTCTTTATGAAACACAAAACATCCTTGCTATTTTTAGATTTCTATGGCATAAATTTGCATGTGGCTAATAATTCTATTCTTAAGCAGGAAACGCGGCTACTTTGACAGACCCTGGCTCAAAAACAAACATGCAGGTATAAGTTATCACACAATTTGGATGTGAATTCAACAGCAGGATAATGAAATGACAGTTGCCAAGGATTTGTACTTGCTGTCGCTTCATATTCGTGTTGCCTGTCAAAATGTCTCTTTTTCTTATACAGAAGCCATAGAATTTTTATGGATAGCAATTACTTACAATATGAAATGAAGTACATCAAATCTAACAACCACTCTTTAGCCCTTCATTATTTGGTAGTCTCTTTGTTAAATGCAGTCAACCATTTTCATCTAAATTATTTATTTATAGTGTATATTTGACAAGCATATATTTCTTGCTTTATATTTTTATGGCATTTAAACCTTCCTGAAGAGTTTTTTTTTAATATTATCATTTGTAAAACTTATCTTTATTATAGTACCATTTTAATGGTAATTAAGCTCTTGAATTGAAATATATACAAATAAACTATAAACACAAAGGGAAATGACCATAAGTATGTTCAATAATGAATCATCAGTTTAAAATACTGGAATGCAACCAATAAAAGAAATAACCCCACTTATGTTTGGTGAATGTAAGCTTTTATAAAATCTCTTAAGTACACAAAGCACAAAGTTTTTATTAAACTTCATCCTGCCCTTTCTCCAACTTGCTTAAACTTCCAAAGATACAAATAACTTTCTCCAATTGCTAGATTCTGTGATAAAATACAATTTAAACATCATAGAAAATGAGTAATAAAAGTAAAAAATTCCCCAAAAGTTTTACTTCCAATTCCAGAAGAAAATGTAATTCTAGTTTGGCCTAAAAATGTGTATAAGGGTTTTTCCAACTGCAGAGCAATTTCAGGATATTTTATAACACATAACAAATTTTTACTTGCAACTCAATGATTGAATAATAACCAAAACGTTATGTTCAAACTACATATATACTACATAGAATATATTCAATAAGTGTTTGTTAAGTTAAACTTGTTTACTTTGCAGAAGAAAAACTTCTAAAGAAGAAGAACAATTTCCAAGATTCATAAAGACACATCTGAGCATAGCATCGGGGGCATAAATCATTCCACCCAAAGGAAAAAAAAAAGGTTTTTTACTTGTGTAAAAGTATACAGGAATAAAAATAAGGCATATGTGAAATTTAAAACTGGGGGGCTTATAAATATTATATACAACTTTTCCAGAAGAAATTTAAATTTTCAAAAAGAAACAATGATCTAGTCTTTTAACATTTTATAAAGAAAATATTATATTTATATGTAGATCTGCAGAAATATTTGTAAAGGCTTGAAGGAAAAAATCTGGAAAAAAATTATGAACTGGAGAAAATATAATTTCTTGGGTAGCAGGAGTCTAAAACAGTGAAGGTGTGACCATGCTTCATTCACTATTGCTGTTTTCTTCTCACTCCCTTCTGTCACTCATTCCACGGTGGGAATCGACAGTTCATTTTTGGAATGCTGAAGTTGCTAAACTTAAACTGTCCATAGAAAAGGCAATGTTTATATTTCAAAAATGTTTATATTTCAAAAAGGATCTAAGATTCATTCCAAGTAAAAAGTACCCAAGAGAAATTACATTAAATAGTGATTGAATAGATTAGGTGTCTGTTAGTATCCTTGAAAGCAAGATTTGCTTGTGAAAAAGTAACCTAGATAATGTACAACAAAAAAATGGTTAGTATTTACTTTTTAAAAACTGATTTCAGTTCTCATTTATTTTACTAAAAGTAATTTTCCTCCTCAGGGAATTGTAAGAGTTGGTAATGTACTGAGCTGCCAGCAGGATAAAAAATACTATAACTTCCCATTATAAAAATCATTAAATCACATTCCTTAGATGATAATTGGTTGAAAATCATTAAAACAACATATTTTACATTGAGATGGAAAAATATACTAATTGTTTACAACATTCTCCTCATGTAAAAATGCAATTGTAATTTGGAGATCTTCCACTCCAGCATTTGGAGTGCTGGATATGAATATGGTGAAACTATGCCTGGATACCTGTTACTAATAAATAACTGATTCTGTCATCCATGTCTCCAAGGCTATTGCCCAATTCTGGGTCACTTGGGAATGCATCAGACTACAGCTGAGCAAGAAAAGTTTACTATTGTGCTACTTTCCTGGAAGTAGCCACAGAAATGAGGCTACATTTTTTTAGTCACATGACCTCCAAATGGTGAGTCATAAAATAAGAGGATGAAACCTTTGGTATAATAAGCTGAAAACATTTATAATGTTGGTGTTAGTTTTCTTGTGAGGGGGCATGTCCTGGTACAGAGGTTTTCACTGTGTTATAAGCAAATGCAGCATGGAGTGACAGCAGAGGAAACACATGGAAAGAAAGAACAGAGGGAAGGACAGTGGATAATGTAAATATAATGAAAAGTAAACTGATAGCATCAGATAGTAACAAGAAAATAAAGTGGTCACTGTATGGCTACTTTGAATGGACTTAATATATATACATATATATGTAGGCATATTTTGTAAAAAGTACAGTGTATTAATTAATGAAGAAATGCAGAATCTCTGTGATACAAGTAGGAAAAACAAATTGACTATATTTTAATAATTACTTCTCATAAAAAGACCACAAGATGGTAGAAGAAAGGTGGCAAGGAAAACAAGAATGAGACAAAAGAAGTTTTAACCTCAATCAGGGGGGAAATGTCTTTACTCATAGAGAAAATTGCCTCTCTCTGATAATCATATTAATACCAATGGCTCTTAAATTACCATTAGCCTTTATGAACTTGACCCCTTTCAGATTGAAACTCATCATTTTCTTTTTCATGAAGGTAAAAGACCTCAGAGCATTGTCTACAGCTTTCCATTTGATTGCCAAGAAGAGGGTTACTTCATTTTCTTGGTTTATCATAATCAAAGTTGATGGTAACAGGCAATAGTGACAGAAAAGAAGTTAGGATTCAAACAAAGAAACAAAAGAAGCACATTGAAACAAAAACTAGAAAAAACAGCGGTAGGAAAGTGTCACATGAGAAGAAAGACTGACATATAATGAAAAGGACAAATAAAGCCAGTGTTAAACCGACTAACAATCAAAGAAAGCAAATAGGAAAAAAGCAGGAACAGAGCGAATAAGTGAAAATACGTTTAGCTTTACCATAAAAAAAATAAAGTAGCTAAAAATGCACAAAAATAGTTAGAATAAAAAGTGAATGTATCACCATTTTGAAGTAGAAAATTGGAAATAAATATTAAAGGCAATAAAAATATGTGTAAGTACACATTATATTAGAATTGGCATTTGTATAAAGGAACATTTAATCCTATTTAGAAATTTTTTTATAATAAGTCATGAGTGACTTATGTCCCTACAATATAACACACAGGGTATTCATTTTTTTAAAAGCTGCACTGTATAAAGGATCTCATATACTGCTAATATGCACTTATAGCTGAGAGGAATAAAGCAAAACGAATTAGCTGAAAGTCAAGGTTTCACTTTCATCTTAACCTAGTGACACACAAACAAAAATAAGCAAACATTCAAACTGATCTAGGAAATAAATATGATCTAACATTTCCATAAGAAGATTAACATAATCTTTAATTTATGAATAATATATTGATTTTCTTATAGTCTCAGTTTTCTATTTAACATAAAGACTAGGGCATCACACTCAGACAGCCAATAGTTTATCAATGTATGACAAATATCTTTTAGTTCTTTCACTTTCTAACAGAGAAAAAGCACAGGAAGAATACCGTCTCCTCTGCTTTACAGTTCTGATAAATGCTGTAGTGTTAGACCCATTTGAGTTCATACCATACCTTCTTTATTACTACTTACTAGTTGTGTAAGCTTAGTCAAGTTAATAAACCTCTCTCTGCCTTTGTTTCCTCATAGGTAAAACAAAGGTATTGAGACTATCATCTGTCTTATATTCCTCCTAGTGTTTTGTTTTGTTTTGTTTTTTAGACAGAGTTTCGCTCTTGTTACCCAGGCTGGAGTGCAATGGCGCGATCTTGGCTCACCGCAACCTCCAGCTCCCGGGTTCAAGCGATTCTCCTGCCTCAGCCTCCCGAGTAGCTGGGATTACAGGCATACACCACCAAGCCCTGCTAATTTTTTGTATTTTCAGTAGAGATGGGGTTTCACCATGTTGGTCAGGCTGGTCTCAAACTCCCGACCTCAGGTGATCTGCCCGCCTCAGTCTTCCAAAGTGCTGGGATTACAGGCGTGAGTAACTGCACCCAGCCTCTAGTATTGTTTTGAGAACAAAATTGATATAATGCAGGTTAAGTGCTAAGCATGGTGACTGGCACCTAACAAGTACTACCTGCCATTATCGTTATTATCATTATGATACCTGTTCAAGTCAGATCCCAGAGATAATTTACATTTATTGCATCATCTACATTTTTTCTTCCCACAAAGTAGAAAAAAGGAAGGGCTCTACTCTAAGCAACAACCTCCATAACTCAACACATCTCAAAGTTACTTATTTATATCACCTGTACTCAAACATTTTTTTTTAGACAGAGTCTCACTCTGTCGCCCAGGCTAGAGTCAAGTGGCATGATCTCAGCTCACTGCAACCTCCACCTCCTAGGATCAAGCGATTCTCCTGCCTTAGCCTTCCGAGTAGCTGAGATTACAGGTTCCCATGACCATGTCCGGCTAATTTTTTCGTATTTTTAGTAGAGACAGGGTTTCACCATGTTGGCCAGGCTGGTCTCGAACTTCTAACCTCAAGTGATCCACCTGCCTCGGCCTCCCAAAGTGCTGGGATTACAGGCATGAGCCACCTGGCCCGGCCAAGACTGATTGAAAATTTAAACTACTTTCTATAAACACTTTTATCCCCTTCAGTATTTAGTTTAAGCTGCTGAAATAATGTTCTTACCTTGGTAAATCATTCAAAATATATTTGTAAATTGGGTTTACAGTATTCCCATCCAAAGTGCCTTCAGGGCTACTTTGCTGTAATACTTCCATTGCTTCAGTCAAGAGGGATAAGGAAGACTGAGATAGTGCTTCTCTGTGATCTTCTGCTCCTGTTTTTGCCATTTTCAGCTAAAAATGATAAAGAATGTTATTTAATTTTAAATGTAAAATCCTACTAGATTACAAATAGAGGCTGGGCATTAAACACAACTTACTTGTCATCATGTGATTCTAGACCATATAGCAATGATTAAATGTGAAATTCCCTTAGTAATTAACAGATGAGAGCTTAAAGAAAGAAAAAAAATATGAATCTAAGTCTACAATTGGTATAATACTGTTTAAGAATGAAAAAAATGGGCCGGGTTCAGTGGCTCACACCTGTAATCCCAGCACTTTGGGAGGCCAAGGCGGGCGGATCACAAGGTCAGGAGATAGAGACCATCCTGGCTAACACAGTGAAACCCCGTCTCTACTAAAAATACAAAATAAATAAATAAATTAGCCGGGTGTGGTGGTGGCAGGTGCCTGTAGTCCCAGCTACTTGGGAGGCTGAGGCAGGAGAATGGCAGGAACCCGGGAGGTGGAGCTTGCAGTGCGGTGAGATCGCGCCACTGCACTCCAGGCTGGGCGACAGAGTGAGACTACATCTCAAAAAAAAAAAAAAAAAGGATTAAAAAAATGCTGGTTTGTTGGAAAACATTTTAATTTTTGCTATTTGCTGGAAAACTGCTTATATAAGCAAAATTGTATGTGAAATACGTTACTGAAAAAGCACACCACAAGGCTTTTTTTTTTTTTTTTTTTTTTTTTTTTTGTCTGTCCTTCATCCCTCTTTTTTGGAACTTACCTTCCTCCTGATTCTGATGGGTCTGTCAATTATGTGGCCTTGCCTTCAAGGCATGGAAGTGAATGTCTACTAGGCTAGCCAATCAAAATGCCCTATTCTCCCACATACAGAGATTGGTAAATCAGAGTCCTGATGAAGAAAGCAAGCAGGGCTCTATTCTCCTGGATTGCTAGCTTTAAGAAAAATGCAAACCTTCCCCATTGAGATGAAGCCAAAAGAGATGAAAGCAGACCTAAGAGATGGAGAGAGACAGAAAGTGAGATTCCTGATGATGACATTTGAATCCCTGAGACCAGCTATTTAAAAAAACCACCTCTTTAGTTTCCTACGTACATAAGCCAACAATTTTCTTTCTTTGCTTAAGCTAGTTGGAGTCGGGATTTTCCATTTTTTTTTATTACTATACTTTAAGTTCCAGGGTACATACATGTGCATAACGTGCAGGATTGTTACATATGTACACATGTGCCATGTTGGTTTGCTGTACCCATTAACTTGTCATTTACATTGGGTATTTCTCCGAATGCTATCCCTCCAGCCCTGCCCCCCACCCCACAACAGGCTCTGGGGTGTGATGTTCTCTGCCCTGTGTCCAAGTGTTCTCATTGTTCAATTCCCACCTATGAGTGAGAAAATGCTGTGTCTGGTTTTCTGTCCTTGTGATAGTTTGCTCAGAATGATGCTTTCCAGCTTCATCCATGTCCCTACAAAGGACATGAACTCATCCTTTTTTATGGCTGCATAGTATTCCATGGTGTACATGTGCCACACTTTCTTAATCCAGTCTATCATAGATGGACATTTGGGTTGGTCCCAAGTCTTTGCTATTGTGAATAGTGCCACAATAAACATACGTGTACATGTGTCTTTATAGCAGCATGATTTATAATCCTTTGGGTATATACCCAGTAATGGGATGGCTGGGTCAAATGGTATTTCTAGTTCTAGATCCTTGAGGAGTCGCCACACTGTCCTCCACAATGGTTGAACTAGTTTACACTCCCACCAGCAGTGTAAAAGCATTCCTATTTCTCCACATCCTCTCCAGCACCTGTTGTTTCCTGACTTTTTAATGATCGCCATTCTAACTGGTGTGAGATGGTATCTCATTGTGGTTTTGATTTGCATTTCTCTGATGACCAGTGATGATGAGCATTTTTTCATGTGTCTGTTGGCTGCATAAATGTCTTCTTTTGAGAAATGTCTGTTCATATCCTACGCCCACTTTTTGATGGGGTTGGTTTTTTTCTTGTAAATTTGCTTAAGTTCTTTGTAGATTCTGGATATAAGCCCTTTGTCAGATAGGTAGATGGCAAAAATTTTCTCCCATTCTGTAGGTTGCCTCTTCACTCTGATGGTAGTTTCTTTTGCTATGCAGAAGCTCTTTAGTTTAATTAGATCCCGCTTGTCAGTTTTGACTTTTGTTGCCATTGCTTTTGGTGTTTTAGTCATGAAGTCCTTGCCCATGCCTATGTCCTGAATGGTATTGCCTAAGTTTTCTTCTAGGGTTTTTATGGTTTTAGGTCTAACATTTAAGTTTTTAATCCATCTTGAATTAATTTTTGTATAAGGTGTAAGGAAGGGATCCAGTTTCAGCTTTCTACATATGGCTAGCCAGTTTTCCCAGCACCATTTATTAAATAGCGAATTCTTTCCCCATTTCTTGTTTTTGTCAGGTTTGTCAAAGATCAGAGGGCTGTAGATGTACAGTGTTACTTCTGAGGCCTCTGTTCTGTTCCATTGGTCTATATCTCTGTTTTGTTACCAGTACCATGCTGTTTTGGTTACTGTAGCCTTGTAGTATAGTTTGAAGTCAGGTAGCGTAATGTCTCCAGCTTTGTTCTTTTTGCTTAGGATTGTCTTGGCAATGTGGGCTCTTTTTTGGTTCCATATGAAATTTAAAGTAGTTTTTCCAATTCTGTGAAGTCATTGGTAGCTTGATGGGGATGCCACTGAATCTAAAATTACCTTGGGCAGTATGGTCATTTTCACGATATTGATTCTTCCTATCCATGAGCATGGAATGTTCAATTTGTTTCTGTCCTCTTTTATTTCTTTGAACGGTGGTTTGTAGTTCACCTTTAAGAGGTCCTTCACATCCCTTGTAAGCTGGATTCCTAGGTATTTTATTCTCTTTGTAGCAATTGTGAAGGGGAGTTCATTCATGATTTGGCTCTTTGTTATTGGTGTATAAAAATGCTTGTGATTTTTGCACATTGATTTTGTATCCTGAGACTTTGCTGAAGTTGCTTATCAGCTTAAGGAGATTTTGGGCTGAGATGGTGGAGTTTTCTAAATGTACAATCATGTCATCTGCAAACAGGGACAATTTGACTTCCTCTTTTCCTAATTGAATATCCTTTATTTCTTTCTCTTGCCTGATTGCCCTGGCCAGACTTTCCAACACTTTGTTGAGTAGGAGTGATGAGAGAGGGCATCCCTGTCTTGTGCCAGTTTTCAAAGGGAATGCTTCCAGTTTTTGCCCATTCAGTATGATATTGGCTGGGGGTTTGTCATAAATAGCTCTTATTATTTTGAGATACATTCCATCAATACCTAGTTTATTGAGTTTTTAGCACAAAGGACTGTTGAATTTTGTCGAAGGCCTTTTCTGCATCTATTGAGATAATCGTGGTTTTTGTCTTTGGTTCTGTTTATGTGATGGATTATGTTTATTGATTTGCATATGTTGAACCACCCTTGCATCCCAGGGATGAAGCCTACTTGATCGTGGTGGATAAGCTTTTTGATGTGCTGCTGGATTCGGTTTGCCAGTATTTTATTGAGGATTTTCGCATCAATGTTCATCAGGGATACTGGTCTAAAATTCTCTTTTTTTTGTTGTGTCTCTGTCAGGTTTTGGTATCAGGATGATGCTGGCCTCATAAAATGAGTTAGGGATGATTCCCTCTTTTTCTATTGATTGGAATAGTTTCAGAAGAAATGGTACCAGCTCCTCCTTGTACCTCTGGTAGAATTTGACTGTGAATCCATCTGGTCCTGAACTTTTTTTGGTTGGTGGGCTATTAATTATTGCCTCAATTTGAGAGCCTGTTATTGGTCTATTCAGAGATTCAATTTCTTCCTGGTTTAGTCTTGGGAGGGTGTATGTATCCAGGAATTTATGCATTTCTTCTAGATTTTCTAGTTTATTTGCAAAGAGATGTTTATAGTATTCTCTGATGATAGTTTGTATTTCTGTGGGATTAGTGGTGATATCCCCTTTATCATTTTTTATTGCGTCTATTTGATTCTTCTCCCTTTTCTTCTTTATCAGTCTTGCTAGCGGTCTATCAATTTTGTTGATGTTTTCAAAAAACCAGCTCCTGGATTCATTGGTTTTTTGAAGGGATTTTGTGTGTCTATCTCCTTAAGTTCTGCTCTGATCTTAGTTATTTCTTGCCTTCTGCTAGCTTTTGAATTTGTTTGCTCTTGCTTCTCTAGTTCTTTTAATTGTGATGTTAGGGTGTCAATTTTAGATCTTTCCTTCTTTCTCTTGTGGGCATTTAGTGCTATAAATTTCCCTCTACCCACTGCTTTAAATGTGTCCCAGAAATTTTGGTACATTGTGTCTTTGTTCTCATTGGTTTCAAAGAAGATCTTTATTTCTGCCTTCATTTCATTATTTACCCAGTAGTCATTCAAGAGCAGGTTGTTCGGTTTCCATGGAGTTGTGTGGTTTTGAGTGAGTTTCTTAATCTTGAGTTTTAATTTGATTGCACTGTGGTCTGAGAGACAGTTCGTTGTGATTTCTGTTCTTTCACATTTGCTGAGGAGTGCTTTTAACTTCCAACTATGTGGTCAATTTTGGAATAACTCCAGTGTGGTGCTGAGAAGAATGTATATTCTGCTGATCTGGGGTGGAGAGTTCTGTAGATGTCTATTAGGTCTCCTTGGTGCAGAGCTGAGTTCAAGTCCTGGATATCCTTTTTAACCTTCTGTCTCATTGATCTGTCTAATACTGACAGTGGGGTGTTAAAGTCTCCCATTATTATTGTGTGAGAGTCAAAGTCTCTTTGTACGTCTCTAAGGACTTGCTTTGTGAATCTGGGTGCTCCTGTATTGGGTGCATATATATCTATGCTAGTTAGGTCTTCTTGTTGAATTGATCCCTTTACCATTGTATAATGGCCTTTTTTGTCTCTTTTGATCTTTGTTGGTTTAAAGTCTGTTTTATCAGAGACTAGGTTTGCAACCCCTGCTCTTTTTTTGCTCTCCATTTGCTTGGTAGATCTCCCTTCATCCCTTTATTTTGAGCCTATGTGTGTCTCTCCACATGAGATGGGTCTCCTGAATACAGCACTGATGGGTCTTGACTCTATCCAATTTCCCAGTCTGTGTCTTGTAATTGGGGCATTTAGCCCATTTACATTTAAGGTTAATATTGTTATGTGTGAATTTGATCCTGTCATTATGATGTTAGCTGGTTACTTTGCCCATTAGTTGCTGCAGTTTCTTCCTAGCATCAGTGGTCTTTACAATTTGGCATGTTTTTGCAGTGGCTGGTACTGGTTGTTTCTTTACATGTTTAGTGCTTCCTTCAGGAGCTCTTGTAAGGCAGGCCTGGTGGTGACAAAATCTCTCAGCATTTGCTTGTCTGTAAAGGATTTTATTCCTCCTTCATTTATGAAGCTTAGTTTGGCTGGATATGAAATTCTGGGTTAAAAATTCTTTTCTTTAAGAATGATGAATATTGGACCCCACACTCTTCTGGTTTGTAGAGTTTCTGCCAAGAGATCTGCTGTTAGTCTGATGGGCTTCCCTTTGTGGGTAACCCGACCTTTCTCTCTGGCTGCCCTTAACATTTTTTCCTCCTTTCAACCTTAGTGAATCTGACAATTATGTGTCTTGGGGTTGCTCTTCTCGAAGAGTATCTTTGTGGTGTTCTCTGTATTTCCTTAACTTGAATGTTGGCCTACTTTGCTAGGTTGGGGAAGTTCTCCTGGATAATATCCTGAAGAGTGTTTTCAAACTTGGTTCCATTCTCCCTGTCACTTTCAGGCACACCAATCAAACGTAGATTTGGTCTTTTCACATAGTCCCATAATTCTTGGAGGCTTTGTTCATTTCTTTTTACTCTTTTTTCTCTAAACTTCTCTTCTCACTTTATTTCATTAATTTGATCTTCAACCACTGATACTCTTTCTTCTACTTGATCAAATCAGCTACTGAAGCTCATGCATGCGTCACATAGTTCTTGTGCCATGGTTTTCAGCTCCATCAGGTCATTTAAGGTCTTGTCTATACTGTTTATTCTAGTTAGCCATTCGTCTAATCTTTTTTCAAGGTTTTTAGCTTCCTTGCAATGGGTTCGAACATCCTCCTTTAGCTCAGAGAAGTTTGTTATTACCGACCTTCTGAAGCCTACTTCTGTCAGCTTGTCAAAGTCATTCTCCATCCAGCTTTGTTCCATTGCTGGCGAGGAGCTGCGATGCTTTGGAGGAGAAGAGGTGCTCTGGTTTTTAGAATTGTCAGCTTTTCTGCTCTAGTTTCCCTCCATCTTTGTGGTTTTATCTACCTTTGGTCTTTGATGTTGGTGACCTACAGATGGGGTTTTGGTGTGGATGTCCTTTTTGTTGATGTTGATGCTATTCCTTTCTGTTTGTTAGTTTTCCTTCTAACAGTCAAGTCCCTCAGCTGCAGGTCTGTTGGAGTTTGCTGGAAGTCCACTCCAGACCATGTTTGCCTGGGTATCACCAGCAGAGGATGCAGAACAGCAAATATTGCAGAACAGCAAATACTGCTGCCTGATCCTTCCTCTGGAAACTTCGTCCCAGAGGGGTACCCGCCTATATGAGGTGTCAGTTGGCCCCTGCTGGGAAGTGTCTCCCAGTTAGGGTACAAGGGGGTCAGGGACCCACTGAGGAGGCAGTCTGTCCATTCTCTGAGCTCAAACACAGTGCTGAGAGAACCACTGTTCTCTTCAGAGCTGTCAGACGGGGACGTTTAAGTCTGCAGAAGTTTTTGCTGCCTTTTGTTCAGCTATGCCCTGCCTCCAGAGGTGGGGTCTAGACACAGCAGGGCTTGCAGAGCTGCGGAGGGCTCTGCCCCGTTCAAGCTTCCCCAGCTGCTTTGTTTACCTACTCAAGCCTCAGCAATGGTGGATACCCCTCCTCCTGCCAGGCTGCTGCCTTGCAGGTCGATCTCAGACTGCTTCACTAGTAGTGAGCAAGGCTCCGTGGGCATGGGACCCACTGAAGCAGGTGCGGGATATAATCTCCTGGTGTGTCATTTGCTAAGACCATTGGAAAAGCGCAGTATTTGGGCTGGAGCACCCTATTTTTCCAGGTACCGTCTGTCATGGCTTCCCTTGGCTAGGAAGGGGAAATCCCCCGACCCCTTGCACTTCCGGGGTGAGGCAATGCCCCGCCCTGCTTCAGCTTCCCCTCCGTGGGCTGCACCCACTGTCCAACCAGTCCCAATGAGATGAACCAGGTACCTTAGTTGGAAATGCAGAAATCACCCATCTTCTACATTAATCACGCTGGGAGCTGCAGGCTGGAGCTGTTCCTATTTGGCCATCTTGGAATGGAATCTGGAATTTTCTTATTTGCAATCTGGAAAATAGAGTAACACACACAGACAATCTAATTTTACCAAAAGACCAAAACAATGTGCCCATAAGAAATCATGTCAAAGAATGTTATTTATAGCAGCAGTCCCCAACCTTTTTGACACCAGAGACCAGTTTCATGGAAAACAATTTTTCTACAGACCCAAGGGTTGGGGACCAGTACCTGGAGGCTGGGGACCCCTGATCTACAGGATCCTTTCCAGGGTGTAATCCTGGTCTCACAATACTGATTAAAATAGCTACAAAATCTCATCTCTGAAGTGGCCCACTAAGACAATGAAGAGGAGTCCCAAATTAAGATTATATGGCAGGCCTAAGGAAAATATATTACTTTTAAGGTAAAAAAAAATCCTTTTACTTTTTTAGTGTTGTTCTGAAATAAATGCTTTCATTCATTCACGCATTATTCGTTGACATTGTTCTAGGCACTTATAATCAGTTAACAAAGCAGAAAAAAACCATTGTGCCCTATGCAGCTTACTTTCAAGTGGGAACAGATAATAAACAATAAACATCATAAATAAGCAAATTGTACAGATGTTAATAGGTAATAAATGCTAAGGGGAAAACTGATGAGGAAAAGGTAAATTGGGAGTATGTGGGAGTGGAGGGAATTGCAAGTTTAAATAGGGTTGTTAGTGTAGGCCACATAGAGCTGGTAGCATCTGGGCAAAGATATGAAAGAGGCAAGAAAGTTTGTCATGCAGATACCCAGGGAGACCCAGGAGGGTGCCTTAGGGCAGGCATCCAAAAGGTCCTAAGGTGGGATATATCTGGCAAGTGTGAAGAACAGCAAAAGTAGATGAATAGATGAACAAGGAAGAATGTAGTTGGGATGAGGTTAGAAAGGGTATGGAGGAGGTGGACACAACACAGGACCTTGCAGGACATTGTTAGGACTTTGCGAGAACTAGTAAGCTCATGGAGTGTTTAGCAATATGATTTTTTTAAAAAGACAATTTTGAATTCTTTGTTAAGAATTCACCAAATGCATTGAAATAATTGTATTGCAATGTCCTAATGTGTCCATATGTTAGTATTTTCTAATAATTGCATAAACTTTGTGGCAGAGACTGCCAATTGTCTGCCAATATCCATTCCTTGTTCCTTCTACAAAACTAGAATCCCTGATTTTTAACTGAGACATATGGCTGCCTAAAATAAAGACTGTATTTTCCAGTTTTCCTTGTAGCTGGGCAGGACCATATGAACATGTTATGGCCAATGGCATGTTAGTGGAGATGGTCCATGCAAGTGAGTGTACCCTTCTTTTTCCTTCCTTCTGCTACCTAGAATGAAAACAATGGCTAGTCCTGGATTGGTCATCTTTAACTTTGATGAGATGCTGAAAATGAAAGCCAGGACTGAGGGAAGATTGAAGGAGTCTGAACCTCTGACAACATGGAGTACCATACCAACCCTGGACTATCTACCTCCAGACTTTTACATGAGTAAGAAACACCTAGTTTGTTCAAAACAGTATTAATTTGGATCTTTGTTACTTGCAGTTAAACCTAATCCTGAAATACCTGACATTCTCTTGAAGTAAATTGCTTTCAAAAACCTAAAATACATGGTATTTACTTAGAGCAAAGAAATAAGGATAACACTAGAATGGCTTAAAATATAAATTTAACTCAGAGTCTAGTAATTTGGGACTTTGGGCCTTGCAGGGTTGAAGAATTCAACTGTTTGTGTATCCCAAACTGAAACTATAAAAAGTAGCACTCTACAGTGATTGCTACATAAGATGAGACTGTGGTTCTAAGCTTTTTAACAACACTTTTCTTTAAGAATTCTTCCCTGGTTGGGTGTGATGGCTCACGCCTGTAATCCCGACACTGTGGGAGGCTGAAGAGGAAGGACTGCTTGAGTCCGGGAGTTTGAGACCAGTCTGGAAAACACAGTGAGACCCTGACTCTACAAAAAGTAACTTAACTGGGTATGATTGCACACACCTCTAGTCCTAGCTACTTGGGAGGCTGAGGCAGGAAGATTGCTTGAGCCCAGGAGATTGAGGCTGCAGTGAGCCATGATCATGCCCCTGCACTCCTGCCTGGGTGAGTGAGACCCTGTCTCAATCAATCAATCAATCAATCAATCAAACTAGCCTAGCTGTCAAAGATCAGATTAAGGTTGCTGTTTTTCAACCCAAGCTTATTGTGTTAGGTGACCTCAAAGGAATCATCTTTATGTTGAAGCACAGAGTCAGGGAATAAAAAACCAGTACTCAGGCTTAAAAATAATGTCTAGACGTGATCTTTGGCTGTGAACATGGGATTAGCTATAGACTGGAAGTCTACTAATTTAGGGGAAGAGGAAGGAGCAGTGTTAAATTACTGAAGAAACCACAAAGCTGGCCGAAAAACATGACTGACCTGTATTCAAATCTCATGCCCACATTTGTATCAGCAGGAAGCAGGCTGCAGATCTGTTCAGCACTCCAGAACAGCAAATTCTCCATTGACCACATCAGATGTGGTCAGGAAGTACAATGTACAAGGAAGACCCTTTCCAAAAGGCAGAATTAGGAGTACTCTGATGAACTAATCAAGGAAATTGCTCCATTGCTAGAGAAAGGAACTTTTACAATTCCTACCTAGCCTAGCAGAATTGATAACCACTATAAACCAGTGACTCTTGTGTTAATCCTATTCTCCTCCTTTCCAAATATACATCCATTCTGTTAGGTGTGATGTGGCAAATGCATTAACTTTTAGTTTATAGGTTACTAGACCACCTGGACTTAATGAAAAGGACAGTGCATTAACCCAACAGCCTAGATTCTGAGCCATATTCAAATGGATCATATTTGGGGGTTCACATACATAATTAAAAGCTAGAACAGGCATGTATGATCAAGAATAGGTGGTTATGTTCTATCTACAGGAAGAAGGGCGTACCAAAGATATTTTGGTGGCTAAAAGGTTGGATTGTGGAGTAAACTGTTAGATGTTCACTAGAATCTCTTCCCTTTTACAGTGTCTAGCTGAAGCCTTTTTTCCATCTACATGTTGCCACTTGACCACATGACTAAATTCTGGTCAGCAGAATGTAAGCAGAAGTGGCATATGTGATTTCTGGGAACTGTCACCAAAGAAGGGGGTATGGGGCATAATTTTCAGCCTTCTTTTCTTCCTTCCTGATATCTGGAATGTGATCATGGCTTAAAGCTGGAATAGCCATGAATGCACCATCTGTGACTTTGGGAATGGAAGCTTCTCACAGCACAGCAACAAAATAGAAGATCTTAGAGCATTATACTAGCCCTCCAGACTTTTATATGAGTAAGAAATAAGCCTTTTTTTCTTACCCGTCCTCAATGTAAACTTTACATTGTAAGTAAGAAATAAACTTTTATATGAGTAAGAAATAAACCTCTTTTTCTTACCCATCCTCAATGTAAACTTTTCTTAACATCTTGTACATGCTATTTATTTCCAGTCTCTAGACCTTTGCTCACACTGCTCCTACACTGTTGATGATTTAGAAACTAGAAGCCAACTTGGTATAATGAAATAGACTTCTTTTTTCCATTTCCCAAAGTTCATGTTTAAGTCAGTTGGTTGCCTGAAATTAAGAATGAATTTTCCTATGTGCTATGGTTGGAATGTTTGTGGCCACCCTCCACCCCCTGCCAAATTTCTAAGTTGAAACTTAATCCCCAATGTGATGTTATTATGAGGCAGAGCCTTTAGGGAGGCAATTAAGTCATAAGGGTGGACTCTTTTTACAACGCAAGGGCACATTATCAATAAGGAAGCAGGCACTCACCAGACACTGCTGGTGCCTTGATCTTAGACATCCTAGCTTCCAGAACTGTGAGGAATAAATTTCTATTGTTTGTATACGATTCAGCCTAAGGTATTTTGTTATGGCAGCCCAGAATAAGATACTATGGAAACAAATGTATACATTGATCAGTTTCCTTGCCTCATTCAATATATGCTAGTAATACCTGAATTAACTCTCCAATAATATTATAGTTAAAAAAAATTTTATGAGAGCTGAGACTAGTCTGTCCTGTTCACTTTGCATTCATAGTGCTTAATTCAGTGTCTAGGACATAGTAGGTATGCAATAAATATTTATAAAAGAAATATGGGAAATTGTACTTCAGATGCCAAGAACACATTTGTTCACAGCAGCAACATTGTAATCACAGAAGAAAGGATTCCTTACAGGACTAAAGTAGATAGTTTTGACAAATTTTCAATGTTAATTCTTTCTATCTAAACTAGCCAAATAATTTATCATCCAAACTGGGCCTGTCTCAGGCAAATCAAGTGTCTAGACTGCACCTATCTATATTTAAATAGCCTCCTTTTTAAATGAAAAGGTACTATCCTATGTCTCTGTGGTTGCATATGTACCCATGGGACTCACCAAAGATTTACTCTTTGATGCTTTTTAAAGAAGGCATCAAAAAGTCTCTGTTTTTATCTTGATGAAAATAATGTTTTACTCTTCAAGGAAGAACAAAAAGCATTTCCTCCTCACTAGCTCCACTCCCAGTGGTAAGTGGGATTTCCTAATTCAGAGGTCTGGTTTCCTTTACCCAGGGATGATACACGGGGCCTTTTTGCATTTTTAAAATCTGTGCCTAAAAGGCCTTTAAGTTAAATTGCTGGATTTCCCAGGATATAAAAAAAAATTAGCAAGAATTGGTCTGCAGCAGACAAATCTACCCCACACTATTCTGGGGCAGTGAGACCTTGGAAGAAAATGACTGTGTGGAGTGTATGTGGTTCTGAGAGAGAGGAGGAGAGGAGCAGGAGGGAGGGAGGAAAGGAGAAGGAGAGGTGGATTTAAAAGGCTAGGTAACTGTAGCTGTGATCTGGGGGAACCAGTGATGGGTACTGTAATTGAGCACAATACTGAAGGAATTGTGTTAGCCACTGTGATGGTTAATTTTATGGGTCAACTTGGCAGGGCCATGGTGACCAGCTATTTGATCAACCATTGTTCTGGGTGTTTTCTGTGAAGGTGTTTTTTTGGATGAGATTAACATTTAAATGTGTAGACTCTGAGTAAAGCAGTTTACCCTCCATAATGTGATGTGGGTCTCATCCAATCAGTTTAAAGCTTTTATAGAAAAAAGACTGACTTCCCCTGGGTAAGAAGGAATTCTTCCAGCAGGTTGTCTTTGGACTTGAATTGCACCCCTTCTCTAAGTCTCTAGCCTGCCAGCCTACCCATCAGATATTGGACTCACATAGCCTCTGCACTCACGGGAGCCAATTCTTAAAAATCAATTAATCTTCCTCTCTCTCTCTCTTCATATATATATGTATTGATTACAGAATGAGTAGATAGAGAAGGGAAGGAGAAAACAAGGCGGAAGAGAAATTGGTGGAGGGTGAGAGAATGAATTTGGTTTTGGATCCATGGAACTTGAGGTATCTGGCAAGCAGTTAAGGACACCACTGGTTGACTGATGAGTAAGAGATGTCCAACATGAAAGCCTCCCGTGAACCTGCTGGAGTTTGGTGGACTTTGCCTTTCCACATCTTGGAGAGCTAGTAGGGAGGAGTTTTTCTGCAGGTGACTCTGGCTTCCAGAAGGGGGCAGCAAAAAGGATGGTTCAGAAGAAAGAACTTGGCTAAGTATGTGCATTTCAAGACAAAGTTCTCCAGAAACTTCTTTCACAGGTAGGGAATTCAACAACAGTGCCCACTGCAGTGAAGCATTGTATTGGTCCCAGAAGAAAGTGATGACAGAATAACATTGAGACCAATTCACCCTGCGAGTAGAATCTCTGAGTTATGTTTGGTTTGGTTAAGAATGGAAATTCCAGTTTTATAGATAGATAGATAGATAGATAGATAGATAGATAGATAGATAGATAGATAGATAGACATGTGTTGCTTAACAACGGGGATACGTTCTGAGAAACCCACCATTAGGTGATTTCACTGGGCAAATATCATACAGTATACTTACACAAACCTAGATGGCATACTATACACCTAGCCTCTATAGTATAGCTGATTGGTCCTAGGCTACAAACCTGTACAGCATGTAACTGTGTAGAACACCGTAGGCAATTTTAACACTATAGTAAGTATTTGTGTATCTAAACATAGAAAAAGTAATACACTGCACTACAACATTACAACAGCTATGTCACTAGGTGATAGGCATTTTTCAGCTCCATTATAATCTCATGGGAGTACCGTTGTAAATGTAGTCCATCCTTAAGCAAAACACTCTTATGCAATGCATGACTATACACACACACACACACACACACACACACACACATTTTTTTTGGTCTGTTTCTCTGTAGAACCCTGACTAATATACCCTCTTTCAAAGACCATGTTGCCTTGCAAGGCTGAGGTGGAACTGGTGCCAGAAAAACTTTCCTGAAGCAAGGACCAATAGCGCCTGTCAGGTGATGGATGCCAATGAGATCAGTAATGGTGATGTGGGTCAGCAAGAAGCTATGGCAATGGCAGCACCACCAATAGTACCAGCAGCACCAACAGACAAACTAACTGACATTAAGGGTCATTCTCATTAGGGAGGGGACAGCTGGAGAACTTTCCTTTTGAACGACAGTTAACACCTAAGGTTCACAGATAATCTACAGGAGATGGGAAGCTCAAAGATTATGAGACTACACTTGCTGCTAACTAAGCATATGGAAAAATAAAAGCAATATAACTAACTTACACGCACAAACATTATGGAGGAATTCATACCTATTGACATAAGAGAATGATCACGTGTTTCTCTTGCACTTTCTAACTATGTGGCCTTAAGTATCATGAATTTTTTCAGCCTCAGTCTTCTTTTGTGCAAAACAGGGTAACTACATGGTTATGAGCATTAAATGAAATGGTGAACTTGGAAGCATTTGGCACAGGGCTTGGCACATGGTAAACATTCAATAAATGTCCTAATCTGCATCAAATAAGAAAAAGATCTGTTTATACATAGTTTAATAAGAGAGGGTGCTTTTGTCCACCCAGCACTCCTCTGTTGGCCCTCTCTCTCCTCCTCCCTTAAATATTTCATGATAGGAGGGGTGAGGCTCTCTTCTAAAGCATCTTTAACAACCATTGTCTTTTGAAATCTTTCATAGGTTGAGTCTGAATTGGGAAATGCTTATAAGCAAAAATCCAGCTGTGCATAGCAAGGCAAAAGTATATGATTAAAGAGTAAAACCACTTGCAGAAAAAAATCCACTGACTGTCCTGGTGTGTTTATGATATAATCCAATTATTAAAAAAACGAAATTTGAATATAACTATTCAAAAATAACCTGAAGAAAACAGAAATAGTTTTATTTTTTACTTATGCACAATTATAATCCTAACTTTCAGTGAAAGAGGTAATTATTTTAGTGGTAGGTATACCTTTTTGTTTTTTTCCCATAAAGTAGTTCAGGAGTCAAAGCTGGATGCAGTGACTCATGCTTATAATCCCAGTATTTTCAGAGGCCAAGGTGGGAGGATCTCTTGAGCCCAGTAGTTCAAGGCCAGGTTGGACAAAATGGCAAGACCCCATCTCTACAAATAAAAAATTTTAAAATATTAGCCAGGCCGAGTGGTGCATGCCTGTAGTCCTAGCTACTTGGTAGACTGAGGCGAGAGGATCACTTGAGCCTAGCTAGGACTACTTGGTAGACTGAGGCGAGAGGATCACTTGAGCCCAGGAGTTTCAAGGTTGCACTAAGTATGACTGTGCCACTGCACTCCAACGTGGGTGTCAGAGTAAGACCCTGTCTTTTTTTTGAGATGGAGTTTCACTCTTGTTGCCCAGGCTGGAGTACAATGGCACAATCTTGACTCACTGCAACCCCCACCTCCCAGGTTCAAGTGATTCTCCTGCCTCAGCCTCGCAAGTAGCTGAGATTACAGGTGTGCGCCACCATGCCTGGCTAATTTTTGTATTTTTAGTAGAGATGGGGTTTCTCCATGTTGGTCAGGCTGGTCTCAAACTCCTGACTTCAGGTGATCTGCCCATCTTGGCTTCCCAAAGTGCTGGGATTACAGCCATGAGCGACCACACCCAGCCTGACCCTGTCTCTTAAAAAAATAAAATAAGGGCGGGGCACAATGGCTCACACCTATAATCCCAGCATTTTGGGAGGCCGAGATGGGTAGACCACTTGAGGTCAGGAATTCATGACCAGTCTGGCCAACATATTGAAACCCTGTCTCTACTAAAAATACAAAAAATTAGCTGGGGGTGGTGGCAGATGCCGGTAATCCCAGCTACTTGGGAGGCTGAGGGAGGAGAATCGCTTGAACCCAGGAGGCGGAAATTGCAGTGAGCCGAGATCATGGCACTGCACTCCAGCCTGGGCAACAGAGTGAGACTCCATCTCAAAATAAATAAATAAATAAATAAATAAATAAATGAAAAATACTTTCAAGATGCTTTCAGTAGGATTAGTTATATAAGTGTGAAATCATTACCATTATTAAATGAAATATTTCTTCTGTAATGTATCTATAAACAGTGTCATCCTCACTAGAAGTAGAACATATTCACAGGCTAAGTAGAATATGCAAAATACAAGACTGTAACAGGGTTTCAGATAACACCCCTGCACATTGACAATTAAATGAGAACTAATCGTTCATTAGAAATTAAAGAAATAAAAATGTGTTAATTTTAATTTGACTGACACTAAATACTATGGTACTCTAAAGAATACGGATAAAGGCATTGACTTATGTTTTATTAACACATGCATAGTTTATTCACTGACACACAGAAAAACCACAATCTTCCTTTACTTCCTATTTCTTAACAATTTCAGATCACTATGTGCTCCCCTCTGATACCCCCACCTAGGGTACCATTCCATCCTTTTTTACAAAAGACATTCCTGTCCTTAGTGGTTGAGTCTGGACTCTGGAGCCACAGTGACTGGGTTTGCCTCCCTGCTGCCCACTTACAAGCTGTGTCACTTTGGACAAGTTACGTAACATCTTTGTGCTTCAGTTTCTTCATCTGCAAAATGGGGATAAAAATAGTAACCACTTCATAAAGTTGATGTGTTTGGCACATAGTAGGCACCATGTGTCAGCTACTGGAGAACAGAGTCCTGGTGGTCCACAAGTTGAACACTAACTACCAATAACAGTTCATGTAGATTTTCCAAAGGGCATGCAAGTGCGGATAGTTGTAAGAAAACCAATTTCTAGATTCTTGCCTTCTATATATAGGCACTTTAAAAGAATACATCTGCCTAAGAAGCTGGCACTTTAAAAAAATACATCTGCATAAGAAGCTGCCTGTCCTAACTAGAGTTTAATCTTGGACAGTCTCTATTTCTCATTTTACAAAAGAAAAGCATTTCCTTTTTGCCTATTCCAAGGTTTCAAACCAAGGAACAACTCCACAATTCCTTTAATCAAGAAATTATGCATGCTCTCCCCAACCTATATTATCAACATATTTTTTCATAAATTTTCTTATGTTTGATAAATATCAGAAATGGTAATATATCCATGCTGTTTTGAATAATTGCATGCTACCAATAATTATAATGAAAACCCAATCCTGATGAAATTTTTCTACACTTATAACCTTATGGTCAAAGGCCATTTTTTAAAAAAAACCTTATTATAGTATGTGGTTATTGCAGATAACAACATGTTATGTAAGACAGAGTAGCCTATAAAAAACTTTCAATTATAAATGATAAAATTCTATGAAAAAATGGAATAAACGTAAGTTTAAGGAAAAACTTTGTTGAAGAAGAGCTTGTTAATGTTTTTAACGTTTTAAAATCTCTATAGAATTCAGGTCTGGGGCTAGAAACGTTATGTATATGTGTACGTGTGACACCTTGTCATGCTTAAAACAAAGAACTCTCTTAAAACTAGAAACTCTATCTCCATCACCTATATTCACATGCATCCTGTTGTTTCTCTGTTTCTCTAGAGAGCTCTACTACACACTCTTTCATGTGGGGAGTGTCAAAAGCACACAGGAGTCAACTTAAAGGTAATTCCACTGGCCAAAAATGGGACACTCTGAAAAGTAAAAAAAAAAATAAAAGATGAAAACATCAAGCATATAAATCCATGAGTATCTAATAATACTAAAATTAAGATTTATACTTCAATTCTCATCATTCGTCTTTGGAGATTGCTGGACCACCAATTTAGTATACTGGAAGAGAAATGTACTTTTCCTTCTTTCCTGAGTTGGCTATAATTCAGGAGAAACAAATAGATAATGAAAGAAAATTATTCTTAATAGAAGAATCATAGCTAATAAATATAGATGGAATAAAAGAATTAGAAAAATCACCATTGCATAGACTCTAATGAAATAATGGACCCAGATAATGTTTGTCCAGGCAATGCTTGTCATCATGAGATGAAAAGACAAAGGGAAGTTTATAGGAGATGAATCTGACTGATATACTATTGATTCACATTAATGTCACTAAAATAGGACAACTAGAAATTGCTTCTCCTTGTGTAATTCCACAGGAATTATAAACACAGGAATACCTATGAAGGATTCTTGCCATAAACACTGAATCTAACCAAGTTTCTAGATCTAACTTCTAGGGTTTTTTCTCATAAGTATGTGAAATAGAGAAACATGTTAAAAGACATGGCAGAGAAAACAGAGAAAGGAAAAATGTTACAAATGAAGAGACTCAAGAATCATAGGAGGGTGGATCACAAGGTCAGGAGTTCGAGACTAGCCTGGCCAATATGGTGAAACCCTGTCTCTACTAAAAATACAAAAAAAAATTAGCCCGGCATGGTGGCACACGCCTGTAATCCCAGCTACTCAGGAGGCTGAGGCAGGAGAATTGCTTGAACCCGGGAGGCGGAGATTGCGGTGAGCCAAGATTGCACCACTGCACTCCAGCCTGGGCGACAGAAGGAGACTCCGTCTCAAAAAAAAAAAAAAAAAAAAAAAAAGAAATCATTTCAACTAAATGCAATGCATAAATATTATTTAGTTCCTGATTTGAACAAACTTTCTTCAGACATACATTTTTGAGACAATTGGTGACACATGAATATATACTGCTTACTACTTAATATTAAGGAAATGATTTTATTAAGGAAATGATTGTATTGAATATGAATAAATGGTACTACCATGATAAATCTTTTTTGTTAGACATATAAACCGAGGTATATGTGAGTACAATATGATTGGAGTTTGCCTTAAAATACTTCAATAGAAAAGAGTAAGGGAGTAAAGGTAAGACTGTCAGACAGCTGATGATTGTTTAACTTGGGTGAAGAGTACATGGAGGTTTTACCGTTTTTCCTCTTGTATGTGTTTGAAAATGTTCATTAAAAAATATTTTAAACAAATCATATGGAATTCAGATTCTATTAGATATATTTTAAATAGTTTTATTTTTTAAATGTCAACATTCATAGCATATCAGAAATCACATATTTTCCAACTATTTAAGCTTATAACAAGAAATGTTAAGTGTCAACTTAAAATGTACAGGAGAGTATATGCTTTTCAAAATTGTATTAGAGAGTACATGAGCAAAAATATTTGAAGTTCTTGTTCTAGACAATAACTACCTCCAGCCTCAGCAGTAAGGAGAGAATTCAAGTGGGACAGAGCTGACAAACAACCTCCTTATCTTCTTCCCCAGGTAAATTGGGACTTGCTTAGCTCTCCTGCATTTCCCTAGAGGAAGGGTGAGAAACAGGTTCTCATAATTCCTTCACAGTGAACTAGGTGCTTAAGACTGCCATAGAATCACCATAATTTAACACTCCTTTCGTAGCTTGGTCTAGGTCCCTAAACCAGATAGTGATGATCAATGCATTAGTTCAAAATCCCAAATTGTGAGGGAGAGTTAGTAAAGTTCAAAGTAGAGCATACTGTCAAGTAGAAAATTACCTTGATGTAATGGTAGCCACCAAGTACATTACCAGGCACACTAAATCTGAGGGCTCACAGACCAAATTAACATGTTCATTTCATACAACTTACTAAATAAATGGAAAACAAAAAGCAAGGGGAAAGCAATGAAATAGGTTGACACTCTTATAATAGGATGTGAGTGGCAGGACCACCCTATATGTATCCTGCGTTACATGCTAGTCACATGCTCTGTTTTCTCTGTGCCACATCAGCCTTCCCCATAATAATGTGTTGTAAGAACCAGAGTTCAGATTTGAGTCAGGTGGCCAAGATAGAAGGTGCCAGGGGTCAAAGGCACATACTTGATAATGAGAGAGACAAAGGGGCAGTTATACCTGAATAAAGAGGTACCTTGCCAATTAATGGTGAAGAACTATGGGTTTTATTTGCATTTCTTGGGCATAGTACCATGGGCCAATATAGGACCTTACTGGAGGTCATAAGTAGGTGGCATGGCACAGCTGTCAGCCCAGAAGTGACAAGATCATAAATTGTTTTTCCTTTCTATCAAATAAATACACACTTGTCTATTCCTTCATAACCCATTTATTTTGTCTTGGCAAGTTTTACATGTTAGTAACTTGCTTACTATGTATATTTAGTACATATTCTAAATTCTGCTTTTCTTTCTCAAACTACTTGCTTACTCTTATCTATATTAATACATGCTAGGAGTTTCACCTGTATCTCATAACATACTTGCTGACTTCCTATCTATCATCAAAATTTCTTACAAATTTCATCATCTCATTTGTTTTCTTCTATAGTAGAATTGAATATTCGAACTCACATTTTCTAGTGGGATGGAGATGACACAGCAGAGAAAAGCATGCATGTGGAAGAAAGACACAAGTGAAGAAAAGAAATCTGGAATTACCATCATCTTCAAAGATTTCAGGTCTCTTTCTCTAGCTTCCAAGACAGAAAACAGTCAGATATTACCTCTCAAAGGCCAGTCCTAATGTACACTGGAAACACTTAGGTAGAGTTTTAGGCCATATTCCACTAAACAAGAGGTTGTATCTGTCCCTTGAAAACTGCTGCAGCATTCCAGCAGCAAATACCTTATTTTCTGCCACTCAACATGCCCTCACCTATTTAATTGCCAGTTACCTCCACCAATGCTGAAACGGCATCCCCATACCACAGTGGAAGCCATTATACACTGTGGTAGGAACTTCAGGTGTGTTAAAATATTGTCAAAGTAGATAATGACTGTTGGTTCAGGAGATATAAGTTGCTGCCACACTCAACCTTACTAGGAGACATGGAGATCTCATTTGCAAAGCCCCATCTCCAATAGAGCTAGTCCAGAAGGCTAACCATTCAATTCAATTAAGAAAGACACTTGATTTCTTCATTAAATCTACCTTCCTGGTGTTGTGTAAATATGTAAATCACATATATACACCTGCATTGCCAAATTATTCTTTTTAAAATTAATTTTACAACAACTAAAATATAGTTTACTGTGGAATAGTCTACTCTTCTACAATGCAATAGTTATATCCCTGAGTAAACTTGCATTATCAAAATTCATTTTATAAAAATAATAGCTTATTTTTTTTTAAGTGGGGAGGTTAAGAACTACAGTTCCAGACTCAAATAAGTTATGTTTCCTGTTGGAATTTCAGTGACAAATGTTTTTGCTTGTTTAATAGCTATAATTGTACAACTAGACAAACTAATATCCTACGGTAAATCTAGCTATCTAGCTGTTGCCTTATTCTATGCTACCAGACTGTGTTAAGCAAACCAGTTCTTGCATATTCTTATCACTTTATTATCCTGTCATCTATTGTTATGATGAACAAATCAATTTTATGTAAACATAAACAAGGTACCTTTGTGGCCCTCCAAATGTGTTTTCCCTAAAACCACTTTGCGAATTCCTGACCCCATCATCTATCCATTCAATCAACAAATTGTTGAGTACCAACTATTTCCAGACTTTGAAAACAAGACAATGAATTCAATGTTGACAAGATAATATTGTTCCTCCAACTGGTTGAATTTTCATTATAATGAATGTAAACACAATTTTAATTAACTTGTCTTATTAAAGACAATTTAAATGATTATAACTGAAGTTATCACAGAAATGCTCATATTAAGATTTTACAAAATATATTTAAAAATCTATTCTTGGAATTAGTAATCATTGTAATTTTTTTGTTTTTAGTCTTTATGATTTTACAGATTTTTTTAAAACAAAGGTGTGGCCATATTAAATATACAGTTCATATACATGGCTGTTTGTGGTGGCTCACACGTGTACCCCCAGCTACCTTGGGAGGCTGAGGCAGGAGGATTGCTGGAGCCCAGGAGTTCAAGTCCATACTGGACAACATAGCAAGACCCAGCCTCCAAAAAAATAAAATAAAATACATACAGCTGGGTTCACTGAATGAGCGTATGTTACTAAATATTTACTATGTTACTAAATATTTGTTGAGAACATGATTTTTTATTACCTGTTTAATATCCTAGTTAGTGGCTCCAAATGCTTCTTATTGTGATTAAAGCTGTGATTCTTGTATATATACCTTTGACCACACCACTGAATAGTTCTTTAAGTCTAGAAGCTAAATCCCTGGATCAAAATATATGCACATTTTTAAGGCTGTTGTGTATCTCCAAAATGAATTACTTTTTGGAAATAAATCAACTTCTAAAATTATCAGAAGTATTATATGAAAGCCCATCTAACAGTACCCATTAGTGGAGCAAAATATTATCTCTTAACTTTGCCAGTTTTAGAAAAATGTTATAACTGGTAGTGAACATTTAATTTTTACAATTTTAATTATTCAATTTTTAAAAATTATATCAATACTCAAGGAGGAATATCAAGGGATCATCAGGGAGATTTTATAAATTATAAATTATTTTAGTTCTACTTAGGAAAACATTTAATTAAAAGAAGAAATTCCTAAAATATAGAATATGTATGTTAAGCTCCTAGATATTTTAAAGATAACTAAGTTCAAAATATCTAATTAGCCCAGTGTCCCCTTTCTCATATACTTATGAGAACATATCCAATTATCTTGAAAAAGGTAATTAAAATTACTATTAATAATCCTGATACTAAGACATGTTATAATTCATTTGATAATTACATTTCCCACAAAGATACTGTCAACATAAACTGTGAAACTGTAGATCCATCCTGTTTACAAGTATCAGAAACAATATGCTCATTGTTCTGTTGTACTTAAATGCTGCATTGCAGCTTGTCTTAACAGGTAATATGTGACATGAAACATGTCTGATTTTATGCTTCATAATTTCCATTCTGTTGTTTAACACTCAAAAAATTATATTTATGTATCACATACGTCAGAAAATGATTTAAATAATTTAACTAAGTAATAGCAACCATACCTTTCATTTCAAATACAAAATAGAAATCTTTTGTTGCTAGATGTTAAAAATCACCTTTAATCAGAAATGCAAATACATTTTTTAATTTATGTAGCTAACATTAAATATTTGATTGAATTGTTTATGTTTTATATTTTCAGAAATTTATTATGAATCAAAATATTAAGTCATAAAAACAGGAGACATCAAAAAACTACATTTCAAGATTGACTTATGAATTTTAAAAATTCATTATTTCTGTTCACTATTCTGATTTTTTATAACAAGGAAAAGAAAGAAGAATAAATGTAATTATTTTGATTTTAAAAACACTACAGGAAAAGGTACTAATTTAAGCCAGGCTGAAGTTTACATTATTTATTGGTATTTTTCTTCAAAAATATGCATTAGAATAAATATTTTTCTAAATACTAAAGTAAATAGAATGCATGGCTCTGGCATATTTATTTCTTTGAAAAGGTGTTCTGAATTTTAGACAACATAAATACTAGGCACTGTGGTGGTTGCCATAGTAACAAATAGAAGCATAAAAATACATGCAATTTTTCAAATGTATCCACTTTTTTCATAAATGTGCATATGTTATAGGTAAAAGATTATTGAACTCTTGCTTTAGCTCCCCTTTTAGCAGGAGATACATGTAATTCTTTAGAAATAGAAGATTATCATGTAGCAATGGAGCAGGCTCAGAAAAGTTTGTAAATATTATGTGGGAAATCTTAAGTTCTTTTAATGTAAATTTTCCAAATTGAAGGCAGGAAAAAAACTTCTTTCACTCTATCTTACTTTAATGGACAGTGTTCTTTAGGTAAGGGTAAAAAGCACATAAACTTCTTTTCCTCCCAAGCATGAAATTTCATTTTATTTTGCATAAGTTTAATATTCACATGCATAAATGCAGCACATGACCTTGGAAAGCTGAAAGCCCTTTTGATCCCAAAGAACCAGAAGTTGTTTAATGCTAATCCAGGAACTACTACTTGAGTAAACGATCTTTTCTTTCTCCACTCCCCTAATTTAAATATAATCTTCCTATTTACAGGTATCCAAGTGACTGAATTTTACACTTACAGTTTAAAGGGCTGCAGAGGGAAGCAATTCCACAAGCCATTATGTGAAGCTTGAAATCTACTGAAAGGTACTGGTAAGCTAAGCAAAACAACAGAAAAGTTGCTCAACTATTATTGAGAAACATATCCTTCAAACCTGATTACAAAAATCTGGACCTCCAATTTGCTTCAACAAAAATTATGTAATATTCTCCTGGGGTGAAATTTAAAACTTTGTAAAGATCACCATCTAGGCAGAGTGACAAACGTAAGGTAACAAAACAGTGCTCTAGGGCTTACCTTGTGCTCACTCCATAAAGAAACCATGTGCTGTCATGGGTAAGGATTGACTAGTCTACCAGAGGAAAAACAATGAGAAACATCCTTATCGTGTATATGCACGATCCTATTTACTTTTATTAAAGAGAAATCGTTTATTTATTTAAATAATGATATACAAGAATAATTAGCATTATGTTTTTACTAAACAAGTTCAAACATAATTGAATTCAGCATAATAAAAACATGATAGAAAAAGGCACTGCCCTCAGTGAGCTCACAGTTTGATACTTAGCAACGTAAGAGCTTTCGACTATTGTATTAAACTTTCAACACAACAACTTCATAATTCGAGTAGTCAAGGCATTCCATATATTAAGGAAGTATGACTTAATTTCCTATCTACAATGTACAACTCAATCTCAAAACAAAGATAACAGCTTTTGAGTTAACTTGAAAGTTCACTTAATAATAACATGACGAGCTCAATAAGTCCTTGGAGAAATATTACATCCACCTAAATTCATATAATTACATTCTGCTACCTTTAGTATTCTAAAACAAATACTCAGAATCTGAGATGACCCAAAATGAAACCCCAAATGTAGCAAAAGGCTACACTCGTATGTAGCCCTCTAGGAGTGAGGAAGAAATAATCTCATCCTTATTGCCATCAGGCATTTAGATTAGATCAGGTTTAACTCAGATTACAGTTTTCATTTTGCCAGGTGGGAGATGCAATTAGAATGACTATTTTATTGACATTGTGTTCCCTGACACATAAACTTAAGGTCTCTGTTTTCTGTCTCTTTTTCTATACACTATAACACATATACAAGTGTGCACAAACACACACAACACACATTCATATGCACTTACAAACATATATGCTGAATATATTGTTTCTTTGACAATACACATAATTTCCATTCTGAATTTTCCAACTTCAGTAAATTTGACTTGCAAACCAAGGCAATGGCCACTTCTTCACAATTTTCACAATCTCGGCAAGGTCTTCTTGATTTAGTTGGAAGCAACATAAATGAGAACCTAATACTTCGCAAAATTCTTCATCCAAGTTGGTGCAAAGCATGACCTTTTTCTATATCTGAGCTAACTAGCAGCATAGCCTGAAGCAGCCTGCCATACATAGGACATTTCTTTGGAATCTAATGCTTTATCTTAAATATTCAAAAAGTGAAATGTCCATTTTACTTGATAAATTATCTGTTAATTTTAGTATAAAATGGTTCCAACAGATGGTATCCATTTGATAATAAACCACATGGAGACAGTAAACACAAAGCATTTATTACCTACAACATTGGTGACAATGCCTAAATATGTGGCCCACTATCTTCAGTGTTCGTCAGAGTGCAGAAACATCTAGAACCTGATGATTTTCACAAAACCAACTGTTGGTTACAGCTTTAGATAATATTTTCTTAAACGCCTTATTCTTAAGGATAATTTATACTTCAAGTCTGATGTTCGATATTTACTTGAAATTCTTTGATTATAATGCCAACACCTACTAATTAGCACTGCTAAACTTCGAAGCATGAACAGAATAAGCACAGTGAACTGCTTGATATGTTGAGGCACCATACTAGGTAACCCAACCACCTTTGATTACTGGATAATAACAAGAAAATTCTTCAATTTACAGAGCCTAGTGTAAATAGAAATGTCTATGACTGAGGGTTATGGAAATAGATAATCAGTCTCTAAGAAGTACATTGTAAGATTTTTCTTTTTTTTCTTGAAGGGATAGTTAGTTCAAACTTTAAGAAGTCCAAAAGTGAGTTAAAATATGAGTCAAAGGCCAGGCGCGGTGGCTCACGCCTGTAATCCCAGCACTTTGGGAGGCCAAGGCGGGAGGATCACGAGGTCAAGAGATAGAGACCATCCCGGCCAACATGGTGAAATCCTGTCTCTACTAAAAATACAAAAATTAGCCGGGTGTGGTGGCATGTGCCTGTAGTACCAGCTACTCAGGAGGCTGAGGCAGGAGAATCTCCTGAACCTGGGAGGCGGAGGTTGCAGTGAGCCGAGATCGCACCACTGCACTCCAGCCTGGTGACAGAGCGAGACTCTGTCTCAAAAACAAACAAACCAAAAAAAATTATGAGTCAAATATTTATGACTGTCAACACAGAATAGGTCACATGGATGTGAGTACTGCAAAAGGAAAGAATATCTTTTTATTCCTCTTCTCTTTCCTATCAACTCTTTTTAACTAAATCTTCTGCTTTCACCATCTCAAAATGATGTAAAGATGTCATTGGAAACTGGAAAAGCGATATCCATTTTTAAAGCAAGGGGGAAATTATTTTGGTAATTATACAGCTTAGTTTAACTGGGGGCATGAATATAGTAACAGAAGAGCCAAACATGCCAGATGAACTTAGTAGCTTTCTATGATAGAATGACAGGTCATATTATCACGCAAAAAGTGAACAGTGTAGTCTATTTCAATGTCGTAAGCCTTTTTATTCCCTTCTCCAATTCAGTAGGATAGGGAAAAATGATTTAGGAAGAAAGGAATTTAAAAATTGACTTGAACGCTAGACCAACGGCTACTGATGCATCTCTCTTTTAAGGATCTGTTTCAGAATAAAGTCAGTCTTTTTACTGATGACTGACAGTCAGGAATCTTGGCTTACTTTACATTTTGATTCCATCACATCAAGTCTCTGAGAGCTGTGAAATTTTAAAAAAGGTATTTCCTTATTTTTTTTCCCTCAACTTTTGACCTTTTTTTCCCTGTAGAGCTCTTAAATGACTTGTTAATTCAACTAAGTGGTGTTGCACTGGGACAACAGTGCAACACCACTGTAAATATAAACTCAAATTAGGTAGAAATTTTGAGGGAACAAGGATGCACTTTGTGAATGAATTGAAAGGATTTTCTATGGCTAGAGAGGGTAATCAATATTGGAGTGGTGCTTAAAATATAAGTGCTGGAACAAACACTTGAAACTTGAAGAGTGTGAAGAATACCTCTTATTTGGTTACAGGAGAAATAATGTAAAAATCAATTGTGAGGAGTCAAGGGATGAACTCACTTTTCATGACAAGCAATCTCTGTCATGAGACCAGCTGGCTGACTACATGAGAAGGCTGGGAACATGACTACGCTGGAAAGAGGCCTCACTGGGGAAAGGAAGTCAAACATTTGGCTTGTATTACAGAATCAGGCAAGAGCCAACAGTATGTTGAACTCAGCTACCTACGAACCAGGAGACTTGTTGTTCCTCATTATGTAATTGACATACCTCTTTTCCCAATCTCTGTCACCATTCAAACATTTAAAATAATAATTTAGATATCTTAGAAAAAAAATGTTTGGTTACTGAATTAGTGTTTGATCTTAACATTCTTTTTCTTTTTTCTTTTTTTTAAGTCAGAGTCTTGCTCTGCTGCCTAGGCTGGAGTGCAGTGGCACAATCTCTGCTCACTGCAATCTCTGCCTCCCAGGTTCAAGCGATTCTCCTGCCTCAGCCTCCTGAGTAGCTGGGATTACAGGCACCCACCACCACGCCCGGCTAATTTTTTGTATTTTTAGTAGAGACAGGGTTTCACCATGTTGGCCAGGCCGGTCTCGAGCTCCCGACCTCAAGTGATCTGCCTGCCTCGACCTCCCAAGGTGCTGGGACTACTGGTGGGAGCTACCGCACCTGGCTGACGATCTTAACTTTCTTTCTAAGCCTCCATACCAGGGAAACATTCAATCAGGGATGCTCCCAGGCTAGTAAGGGAAGAGTGCCCCAAGGTGTTATTTGTACCGGTATATCCAAAAGGAAATGGGAATGAGTAACTATTCCCAATCGCCCTTCTCTCAGCTCTCTCAAAACAAGTGAGTCACACTCTTTTCTTCCCCTCTTACCTTAGGTCATTCCAGAATGTTTAGAGGAGATAGCTACAGTATAAAAAAGCTATGCCAGATAAAACTGACTTTATTTTATAACAACAACAACAAAAAAAGAACAAGGGGGAATTTTTATGTTTACCAAGCCAAGACTCTAACAAATAATTTATTTAAGTTAATAACTGAAGAAAATGTAGCTAAAGAAACTAGAACTCAGGATTAAGAAACTCACTCAAAACCGCTCAACTACATGGAAACTGAACAACCTGCTCCTGAATGACTACTGGGTACATAACGAAATGAAGGCAGAAATAAAGATGTTCTTTGAAACCAACGAGAACAAAGACACAACACACCAGAATGTCTGGGACACATTCAAAGCAGTATGTAGAGGGAAATTTATAGCACTAAATGCCCACAAGAGAAAGCAGGAAAGATCCAAAATTGACACCCTAACATCACAATTAAAAGAACTAGAAAAGCAAGAGCAAACACATTCAAAAGCTACCAGAAGGCAAGAAATAACTAAAATCAGAGCAGAACTGAAGGAAATAGAGACACAAAAAACCCTTCAAAAAATTAATGAATCCAGGAGCTGGTTTTTTGAAAGGATCAACAAAATTGATAGACCGCTAGCAAGACTAATAAAGAAAAAAAGAGAGAAGAATCAAATAGACGCAATAAAAAATGATAAAGGGGATATCACCACTGATCCCACAGAAATACAAACTACCATCAGAGAATACTACAAACACCTCTACGCAAATAAACTAGAAAATCTAGAAGAAATGGATAAATTCCTTGACACATACACTCTCCCAAGACTAAACCAGGAAGAAGTTGAATCTCTGAATAGACCAACAACAGGAGCTGAAATTGTGGCAATAATCAATAGCTTACCAACCAAAAAGAGTGCAGGACCAGATGGATTCACAGCCGAATTCTACCAGAGGTACAAGGAGGAACTGGTACCATTCCTTCTGAAACTATTCCAATCAATAGAAAAAGAGGGAATCCTCCCTAACTCATTTTATGAGGGCAGCATCATCCTGATACCAAAGCCGGGCAGAGACACAACCAAAAAAGAGAATTTTAGACCAATATCCCTGATGAACATTGATGCTAAAATCCTCAATAAAATACTGGCAAACTGAATCCAGCAGCACATCAAAAAGCTTATCCACCATGATCAAGTGGGCTTCATCCCTGGGATGCAAGGCTGGTTCAATATACGCAAATCAATAAATGTAATCCAGCATATAAACAGAACCAAAGACAAAAACCACATGATTATCTCAATAGATGCAGAAAAGGCCTTTGACAAAATTCAACTACGCTTCATGCTAAAAACTCTCAATAAATTAGGTATTGATGGGACGTATCTCAAAATAATAAGAGCTATCTATGACAAACCCACAGCCAATATCATACTGAATGGGCAAAAATGGGAAGCATTCCCTTTGAAAATTGGCACAAGACAGGGATGCCCTCTCTCACCACTCCTATTCAACATAGTGTTGGAAGTTCTGGCCAGGGCAATTACGCAGGAGAAGGAAATAAAGGGTATTCAATTAGGAAAAGAGGAAGTCAAATTGTCACTGTTTGCAGATGACATGATTGTATATCTAGAAAACCCCATTGTCTCAGCCCAAAATCTCCTTAAGCTGATAAGCAACTTCAGCAAAGTCTCAGGATACAAAATCAGTGTACAAAAATCACAAGCATTCTTATACACCAATAACAGACAAACAGAGAGCCAAATCATGAGTGAACTCCCATTCACAATTGCTTCAAAGAGAATAAAATACCTAGGAATCCAACTTACAAGGGATGTGAAGGACCTCTTCAAGGAGAGCTACAAACCACTGCTCAATGAAATAAAAGAGGATACAACAAACGGAAGAACATTCCATGCTCATGGGTAGGAAGAATCAATACCGTGAAAATGGCCATACTGCCCAAGGTAATTTATAGATTCAATGCCATCCCCATCAAGCTACCAATGACTTTCTTCACAGAATTGGAAAAAACTACTTTAAAGTTCATATGGAACCAAAAAAGAGCCCGCATCGCCAAGTCAATCCTAAGCCAAAAGAACAAAGCTGGAGGCATCACGCTACCTGACTTCAAACTATACTACAAGGCTACAGTAACCAAAACAGCATGGTACTGGTACCAAAACAGAGATATAGATCAATGGAACAGAGCAGAGCCCTCAGAAATAATGCTGCATATCTACAAGTATCTGATCTTTGACAAACCTGAGGAAAACAAGCAATGGGGAAAGGATTCCCTATTTAATAAATGGTGCTGGGAAAACTGGCTAGCCATATGTAGAAAGCTGAAACTGGACCCCTTCCTTACACCTTATACAAAAATCAATTCAAGATGGATTAAAGACTTAAACGTTAGACCTAAAACCATAAAAACCCTAGAAGAAAACCTAGGCATTACCATTCAGGACATAGGCATGGGCAAGGACTTCATGTCTAAAACACCAAAAGCAATGGCAACAAAAGCCAAAATTGACAAATGGGATCTCATTAAACTAAAGAGCTTCTGCACAGCAAAAGAAACTACCATCAGAGTGAACAGGCAACCTACAAAATGGGACAAAATTTTTGCAACCTACTCATCTGACAAAGGGCTAATATCCAGAATCCACAAAGAACTCAAACAAATTTACAAGAAAAAAACAACCCCATCAAAAAGTGGGCAAAGGATATGAACAGACACTTCTCAAAAGAAGACATTTATGCAGCCAAAAAACACATGAAAAATGCTCACCATCACTGGCCATCAGAGAAATGCAAATCAAAACCACAATGAGATATCATCTCACACCAGTTAGAATGGCAATCATTAAAAAGTCAGGAAACAACAGGTGCTAGAGAGGATGTGGAGAAATAGGAACACTATTACACTGTTGGTGGGACTGTAAACTAGTTCCACCATTGTGGGAGTCAGTGTGGCGATTCCTCAGGGATCTGGAACTAGAAATACCATTTGACCCAGCCATCCCATTACTGGGTATATACCCAAAGGACTATAAATCATGCTGCTATAAAGACACACGCACACGTATGTTTATTGTGGCACTATTCACAATAGCAAAGACTTGGAACCAACCCAAATGTCCAACAATGATAGACTGGATTAAGAAAATGTGGCACATATACACCATGGAATACTATGCAGCCATAAAAAATGATGAGTTCACGTCCTTTGTTGTGACATGGATGAAATTGGAAATCATCATTCTCGGTAAACTATCGCAAGAACAAAAAACCAAACACCGCATATTCTCACTCATAGGTGGGAATTGAACAATGAGAACACATGGACACAGGAAGGGGAACATCACCCTCTGGGGACTGTTGTGGGGTGGGGGGAGGGGGAAGGGATAGCATTGGGAGATATACCTAATGCTAGATGACGAGTTAGTGGGTGCAGCGCACCAGCATGGCACATGTATACATATGTAACTAACCTGCACATTGTGCACATGTACCCTAAAACTTAAAGTATAACAGAAAAAAAAAGAAAGAAAATGTCCCTGTAGCTTCAGGAAACATGGAAGTAGTGCACTGTAATGCAAAGACCACTGGGACTGGATCACAAAGTTCTGAAGTTCTGGTCCTAGTTTGAGGCCAGACCTGTGGTAAATCCTAAACTCTTTTCTGTACATTTTCCCTACCTGTCTAAAATGTGGGGGTGTGAGATACTGATAAAAGGGAGAAACTCTAAAGTTCTCTGTCTCTAAAATTTTAGTCATTTAATAGAAGAGCTTTTACATATAAGAGCTAAGGTGGTATGGCAGAAAATGCAACAGATCTGAACTCAACTGACTTGGGTTTGAATTTTTGCCTCTGTCTCTTCCCAGTCTCATTCCTTTATGTGTATGATAATGGTATCTGCCTTACCTACCTCACAGGACTGTTAAAAGGATCAAATGAAAACATACGCAATATGTAAAAGTGCTTGTTAATTTAAAATGTTAGTTCCTATTTTTGTATTTAGGTCTGCCTCCTGAATTGTCCAAGAAAACATGTCTAGACATGGTAGAAAGTATTCCAGAGACTCTTTGTTATCAGAGAAGATACAGCTATTTATAACTTACAGTTTCAGATTGTTTGCTTCCTCAGCTACTGGTTTGTTAACAATGCCACAGTTAGACAGCCCAGGTTCCTATTAATACATACCGAGGTATGGATAGCTGTTCTCTGTCATAGGAAAAAATATGTAAGTTTTCCAAACCAACTCCTCTAAAGAAAGATGTGGAGACTTTGGCCAAAAGTCAAGTACAGTATTTCTTCCTCTGCTTATCTGCAAGGGATATGATCCAAGAACCCCCAGTGGATGCCTAAAAGTGTATACAGTATAGTATCAAACCCTATATATACTATGTTTTTTCCTATCATATACACATATGATAAAGTTTAACTTATAAATTAGCCACAGTAAGAGATTAACAGCAAATAACTAATAATAAAATAGAACAATTATAAGAATATACTGTAATAAAGTTATGTGACTCTGTTCTCTGTCTCAAAATATCTCATTTTACAATACTTACCTATTTTCAAACTGCAGGTAACCATGGTTAACTGAAACCACTGATAAGGGAGAACTACTGTAACTGTGTTGATTAGTGGTATGTTAGAAGTGGAAAGAGAAGCAAAGGATAATTGGTGGAGCTGTAGAAAGGATTGACTTAAAAGTCTAGACTAACACTAAGGTAAGGAATACCATCAGAAAAGAGTTGAGGGGATTTGGAATCATCATTCTGATTCCGTAAGTTTTATGTTAGTTGGACCTACTCTATAGATAAAGGAGGTCCCTGTGAAGCAAAATCTTGGGAGGTCATCAGATATGGAGAGTAATTAATACATTTGGAAATCTTAGCCAGTACCAAGATTATTAAATTGGGCTACTAAATGCTGGAGACTGAATCCCTTTTACTGATTATTTGCTTTTTCATTATGATACCTAACTTTTCCCTCAGTAAATATGTAATGAATTTCAGATGGTTCTCAACTTTCCAAAACCCAAAAAGTTCATCTGTGAAGGCCTAACTTTTACTTTAAGTATATATAAAATGCAAACACATACAATTGAATATAAAATAAAAAGAACGGTTTTAAAGTAGCATGTAAAAAATCCATTTTATTGATTTATAATCATATTACCTTCTTCATAAATAAAGATCCATAAAGATGGATCCAAGATGGCATGCATCTGCAAGGGATGGAATTCCACAGATAAAACCAGAGCAAAAAGGTCCAAAAGGAAGGACTGAATGAAGACACAGCCTCATTAGCACAAAGAAATTCAACTCAACTCATTACATGTCGATTACCAATACCTATCTTTAGAGAGACAGTAAAATATAAACTAATTTACGTTAGTAAAATTGAACCAAATATATTTCTCATCTTTTTTTTTAAGACAAGAGTCTTGCCCTGTTGCCCAGGCTGGAGTGCAGTGGTGTGATCTCAACTCACTGCAACCTCTGCCTCCCAGGTTCAAGCCATTCTCCTGCCTCAGCCTCTGAGTAGCTGGCACTACAGGCATGCACCACCACACCCGGCTAATTTTTGTATTTTTAGTAGAGATGTGGTTTCACCATGTTGGCCAGGCTGGTCTCAAACTCCTGACCTCGAGTGATCCACCCACCTCAGCCTCCCAAAGTGCTGGGATTACAGGCGTGAGCCAGCGCACCCAGCCCCTAATCATTTAAAATGCTCTAGGCTTGCTAATTCTTACTGTATCTAGTTTCTGGACCAGCATTTGCTCCAAATCCAACGCAGGAACTAAGTAACAACAGCACTTGCATCCTGATGACAGTCTTAGCTACATCTACCTGAGGCAAGAAACTAGAAAAACAGGATATATTGTGGGCTAAGATCAAAAGAACTGTTACAGAGGGCCTAGAAATATCTCATTCTACATTTGGCTACACTTTCCTACCTCTTCTTTTGCAGGATTACCTGACTTTAGCCTAACGCTAAACTATGACCTATTTCTAAGAGTATCTTTCTCTATACTGAAATTTCTGAATATTATGTATATATATGTAATATATAAATCAACAAAATTCACAGATTTTTAAGATTCTAAATTTAAATAGATACAGGTACACTGTACTATGGAATAACCTTTCCTTTTCTTGTATTCAAATAAGAAAACTTCAGTTGTCCCAAATATAGATAGAAACTAAAAACAGTTAATTTAATAGTGATAGAGGAATATTCATAGAGACTAACATTGCAGACTAGGATTTATACTACAAAGATTTTTTAAAAAAACATACAGTGTTTGAAATTAATGTATCTGACTGCCTTTCTCTAATGCTCCCGCTTCACCTGCAGCACATCAGACAAGGTAGTAATTTATGATAATCATATGAAAATATACAATTAATATTCACCACCTCTCATTCCTCATCACTTCAGACGATCAGTAATGCAGAGTGAAAATGCTGTCAGATTTCTAATTGCTTTGTAATGGGCTTGAAACAGGGAAATCATTAAAGGCAAACAATCTGTCATTTGTCTGTTACTTTAACTATCTATCACACCAAAAAACTCATTAAAGAAATTGCTAATGAGCTACAAAAGACTAGAGTCATGGTGCTTCTACAGTAGATTAAAAAGTAATACTATGAATTGCTGAAAGTATTTTAAAAATATGATATTTTGTGGAAATTCATCAGAAAACATCTATTCTTCAGTATATTTTTTAAGATGTGTGGTTTCATTATTTTGGCATTTAATCCATCATTGCAGAAATCCCTTTAGCATACAAGACCTGTTTTTCTCAGTCTCTAACTAATTAAACTGAAAGGTTGCAAGAAGCTGAAATGCTAAATGTGTTTATTACTAGTAAACTGACATAAGTAATAAAAAACAGACTATAGTAACCCTGATGCTAAATGAAGAATGTATTTTAAAATCTGATTTTTACTTTCATATCTCTTGTGGATTTAAACTGTTGAAGTTGTAATGCTTAATCATCTTAAATAATGCTACCATCATACAAAAATTATATTCAATGACTGAATTTGAGCATAGTAATATTAAACTGTGTGTAATTATATATTAACTATTTTGAAATATTTGAAAATATTAACCAACACTAACATGTCTCATAATTTTACTTCATGTAATTTTAGGGGAGGAAATAAATCATTTCTTTAAGTGAGCACACAACATTTTATATGTCTTTATGAATTCTACTCTTCCATATGAGATACTTAGCATTTAAAAACCTATAATAATGACACTAATCTTATTTTAAAACAAGAGTTATTGCCTTATATTTTAGAAAAATATGCAAGTAACAAAGATAACAATGATACTAATTATGTTTTCCATTGCTAATGATGAATTAAGTCATGAATTTAATTTCCTATTACAAAAGATGAGGCTCATTAATAAAGTCAAACTTCTATGTATGTTGACCCATTCATACCTATTAGAATTCACACAAATTAAAAAACCTGAATGCAATAACATGTTTAGCCAGGTGCCATAGTTAATATACACTAGTGAATTCCACACTTAACTTCAAAAGGTTCCATAACACCCTGGAAACATCTTCATTATACTCTCTAATTGACTTAAACAGACTTCAAATCAACTGTTTAACACATTTTAACCCACAAATTAACACCCCTTGATCATTCAGATTAACCTTTCTTCTGTAAGTCAATTACATGACAAAAATAAACTTTTCGAAAAAAATTCAGGATTAAAAAACTAAAATAGAGAAAGTAGCATGCTTTAAAAAACAGTACAGCCAGTACCTGACTTAGGATGGTTTGATTAACAATTTTTTGACTTTACATGGTGTGTATTCTACTGAATACATATTCAGAAGAAGCCATACTTTGAATTTTGATCTCTTCCCAGGCTAGTGATAGTTAGTAAAATAATTTCTCATGATGCTGGGCAGTGGCAGGGAGCAGCAGCTGCCAGTGAACCATGCACTCTCTGAGGGTAAACAACCAATACTCTATGGTGTAGTGTGTGCTACATGATTTTGCCCAACTGTAGGCTAAAGAAAGTGTTCTGAGCACAATTAAAGTAGGCTATGTTAAGCTATGATGTGCAGTAGGCTAGATGTATTAAGGCACTAATAATATTTTCAACTTAAAATGGGCTTATCAGAGATAATCCCATCACATGTCAAGGAGCTTCTGTATATAAATGCATATCCCCACATGACTGGAAGAGATCACCACAAATTTCAGTGTAGTTGGAAAGTGCATAGAAAAACCAGAGTGGTGATAAGAAAAAAGAGAAAAGGGCAAACAAGTGAATGGGGGAAAAAACAAGTTGGTATTTGTATGACTATTAAAGATAAATAGAAGATGGATTACAGACAATATTTTTAATAGGCTCATGGAATGATTAAAACATTAGATGTGAAGATAGGAAAACAGGAACATAAATCTCAGATAAGATAAAGACCTATAAGAGGTCTGAAAAAAGTTAGAAAGAACTGACACATAATGCTAAAAAACAAGAAAAACACAGCAACAAGTGCGGTGCCCGCAAAAAATATTTACCTCTTCCTCTTTCTCTCCTGCTTAGTGTACTGCCTTGCACAAACTCAACGAAAGTTCATCGATGATGACTATTGTCAAAATGGCAAAGCAGATAATAGACTGAGTTAAGACAACCAACAAAGGGAAAAATGAAAACCATTTCTAAAAGATGAGCTAGGATTATTCATTAGAGCTGATTCTCAATACTATCTAAAGCTTTATGTTAATCTGTCAAAAAAAAAAAAAAGAAGAAAGGAAGTTTCTTTCATCCTAGTCATTCACCTCTCCCTTCCTTCAAAACACTATTTAAAACTTAACATTTCATACATCTTCCTGGATTAGCTTCATCTTGATTCAAGGATTTTAATCATTCAAGTAATCTATTCTACGTATTAGTATACCTGCAAGTTATTAATTAATGTCACAGCACCTGGTATTTCCTCTGGCATAGTACTTCCTACAGTTATTTCAGTTCCTTTTTAAATGTCTGTTTACCCAGATAAACTAAGCTTTTGACAGGACTACAGTCAACTTTGTTTTGTGTCTCTTGTAACTAACGGAGTGTGGGGTACATAAGAGACACTCAACAAATATTTGTCGATTGAGTCAATAGGTGAATGAAGGCTGTATATATATCATTGACTTTTAAAAATCAAATAACTAGCTAGTTTTTGGTGGTTTTTCTATCTTCCCAGTAGATTATAAGTTGCTCTAGAGACAATCATTCAATTTTGGAACATAACCATCATATCCCATGGTACTTAAATACAGCTTAGTTCACTGGTATAAAAATCCTAAAATTCAGAAATAAAAATCAAGGAAATGAAGGAATAGTTGGTGATGGAACTACCAAAAGAGCCAAGTAAATATAATCCTGAATAGGAAATAATTAGCAGAAGTACACTATATGTATACATCTATATAATATAGATATAGATTTCCATTATTATCCATCAATGAGAAGCACAATTGACTAGTATGACATCAAATTAAGAATTTGTGAATGTCTGGTAGACGTTAGTTTACGGGCAGGCGTGTACCAAAGTGATAGATTTAATAACAATGTCATTTTTTCCTATCATCATGACAAAGGATCTTAAACTCCTGATGTATCTAGCTACATCTATAGCACTTGATCAATCATCTGGGAATCAAATATTTAATATACGCCTACCTTGGTTATGTTAGATGCTGATGACGCAAACTAAAGTTTTGCCTATCCTTTTAATTTATTCTGAAGTCCAACCAAATGTACAGTTCAACAAATATTTGGGTTTGATTTTATTTTTCCAATTCAATTGTTTCTTGCTGTCATTTGCTCTCTTTGGAAATTCCTAAAATACTGTTATGAATGTCCAACATTCTAATATATCAAATGTGCAACAAATATTATTAATTAATAATAACAACAATAGCTAACCTTTACTGAATACTTATTACTTTCAGGCACAACTATCTCATTTAATTCCCACAACAAATCTATGAGGGAAATACTATTATTACTCCCATATTACAGAGGAAGAAACCAAAGCAAAGAGATGAATTAAGTTCACATAGCCGTAAGAGGAAAAGCCTGGACTAAACACATATGTTCTGACTCTAGAGTTCATGCTTTTAACCATGATACTAACATAGTTTATATTTCCACTATGTAAGTTTCACATAAAATGGATAAATTGCCTTTTAAATATAAGATACTGAGAAACAAAACTATTAGAGCTATGTATCATTAGAACTCCAGAGAATGAGGCAAGATAGCTGGTTCTTAGTTTCTCTGGAGAGGTGTTCTTGCTCTCAGAAAGCTTGCAACCCAACTGGGGAATCAGAATATATTCTAAGGAAAACAATATACTGTGATATACAAAGGACTTGCTATGAAAGTTGAGGGGCGGCAGTAAGTTCTAAGGACCAGGCCATCATAAAAGGCTTGATGGAAGAGATAGGCCTTAAAGCAGGGATTACTCTGATAGGAGGAAGAAAAGAATTAGGGTGTTATAAGTAAGGAGAAGCATTTGAACACAATTATTGATGAAATGCTGTTACCAAAACACCAGGAGTTCCATCTATGTCTTGCTGCTTACCACCCAAAAAGTCAATCACTGAGACAATGATTATTGTCAAAGAAGAAGGCTTTAATCAGATGCTGCAGCCAAGGAGATGGGACATCAGTGTCAAATTCACCTTCCTCACTGACTAAAATTAGGGGTTTATATAACAGGGAAGAAATGTTAACTACGTATGAGAAAACAGGAACTAAGGAAGGGTAAGGAAACAATAACGAAGAATGAGGGGTCTGGCATATCACTGTCTAGATGCAGTAATCTGGTGAGTTTCAGCTCTTTGATACTTGTTGAGAGGTCTGGGCATCCTTTCTTGAGGAAGGAACTGAGATAAAGATCAACAAAATGTGGCTGGGCGCAGTGGCGCATGCCTGTAATCTCAGCACTTTGGGAGGCTGAGGCAGGCAGATTGCTTGAGCTCAAGAGTTCCAGACCAGCCTGGCCAACATGGTGAAACTCCATCTCTACAAAAAAAAATACAAACATTAGCCAGGCATAGTGGCATGCACCTGTGGTCCCAACTACTTGGGAATCTGAGGTGGGCAGATGACTTGAGCCTGGGAGGTAGAGGCTGCAGTGAGCTGAGATCATGCCACTGCACTCCAGACTGGACACCAGGGCAAGACTCTGTCTCAAACAAGCAAACAAAAAGATAAAACAAATGCAAGTTTCAAGCTTTCAGAAAAGAAGTGTCCATTTCTATGTTTATTAATTTAAAAAACCCCAATAAACAAAACTAAACAAACAAACAAAACCCTGTCTATGGGACTGTTGGGTTGATTTCAGTACCATGAAAAGATCCAATTGTTTAAATGTTTAATGTATGGAGATAATAGGGGAGGTTGGAAAAGTAAGGATCATATTGAAGAGGTAACTTGAATGCTAGGTTAAGGAGTTAGGACTTTATTCTCTAGACCTGCCCTGCTGGATACAGTAGCCACTAGTCACATGTGGCTACTGAGCATTTGAAATGTGCTAGTTCAAATTGAGGTGTGTTCGGGCACAATACATACCAGCTTTTGAAGACTTAGTAGGAGAAAAGAATGTAAAGTATCGCCTTAATAATTTTTAGATTAATTAATTTTGTAGCTTGCACTTACGGCTTACATTATATTTCTATTGGAAAGTACTGCTCTATAAAATGAAAAATGAAGGAAGCTTAATGATCAGAAATTTATGTAAAAATTGTTTTAAGAAGTTTATTTTGGTATAAGCAGAGTGTAAGACAACTGTTCTCATTCAGTAAGCCAATGGCAAGTAAAGAAAAAAACAAGGTTCTAGTGAAGAAATGGGACTGCTATAATTTAAAAGATATTTAAGAGACAGAACAGCTAAATGGAAAGTGTACATTTTGTCTGATTCTGAGTCAAGCAAACCAACCAGAAAAAGACATTTTCAATTAACCGTGGAAATGTAAGTAAGGTCTAGATATTATGTGACAGTCCAATAATGACATTATGGAGATAAAAGAAAAAGTTGGTACATTTTAGGGATGCAAACTAAAGTATGTAGAGATGAAATGACAAAATATTTGGTATTGCTGGGGAAAAAAACTATTTCTTACTTTCCAAACCCCAATAAATAAATAAGGTAACACAATAACCTAATAAATAGTAAATCAAAATAAAATGCTTTTGCTGTAAAAAACAAAAAACCTGGAGTACCGGAGCATATCTACCTACACAAGGAAGAACCAAGCTGTGGACAGAAGGGAGTTTGAGGGCTAGAGATGTTCAAGGTGGCATCATTCTGACAGTACTGTTTAGAAAAGCATTCACCACACTACTTAATTCCATTGCTTTAGGTATTTTCATGAGGCCACACAAGAAAGTATGATGCAGCCAGGACTAAAACCAGATGCTCTTTGTATCTGCCTTTAAACATGACAAAACCCTGTGGAGAACCTAATCTATGCTTTCATCTTTAGATTTTTAAACTTGCTTGTTTCATTCAGTTATTCTTTATAGTTCATAACATCATTAAATAACTGATCATATTAGATTATTTTATTTATTCTGCTTAAGTTTATCTTGACTGCTTCTCAAACTCAGATTGGTAGAAGTTTAAAAAAGAAGGAAAGCAAAATCAAAGCAGTAACAACAAAACCATTTTAACATCTCCAAGTGAAATTTATGTCATGCTGGCCAAAAATAAGATGTAGTTTTCATCTCCAGGTACAATGCTAGGAAGAGGTGTTAATGTAAAGTAAGCAGCACAAAGAAGTAATAAAAGGAAACACAGGAATCAAGAAAGGGAGAAGAAAGAAAGGTGAGAAAAACACCACCACCACCACCACCACCACCACCAGCAACAATAACAAACCCCAACAGTGCCCATATGCAGTGCCCCCTAACTGCTTCGAAGAAGAACAGTTCATTCTGCTTTTTTCTGTAAGCTTGAAAGATAGCATAGCTGCCCTGGGAATGTGTAGACTTGCTGAGTCCTTGTTCTGCCCCTACCCAACTAGCTGTTTGGCCTTGATCCTTGATTTCTTTCCTCATCTATAAAGTGGGAATAATGGCACCTGCCTTACTTGTCTCACTGGGTTGAAATGAAAGCGAAGTGAAATAGCAAATGTGAAAGAATTTTGGAACGTTTTTATGTTGTAAGTTGGTTGCTAAGGTCTAAAAGAAATATTAATAATTACGTCGAATATCTTCTGCAGAAAAAATTAAACCGACCCCATCCCCCGCACATCTAGCCCTACCTGGCATAGGTTTTAGTTCTTTTAATTTTCGAATTAGAACATTGTAAAGGAACTGTAGGGACGAGAGTGGCATCAGGTCTCCTCATCCTTCTCACATCCTTGCCCCCGCACCCCTCTCTCACCCCAGAGTTCAAGCACCAACCGAAAAGATTGAGAGTAGCTCAGGGTACGGTAAACGGAGGAAGCTTTGAAAAAGGCGGGGAAAGCCTGGGATGGCGAGGGGGTGCTCGCTGAGGAGGAGGAGAGAAGCGACAGTCGCGGGGCCCGGAAAAGAGAGACTTAGAGCGAAGCCAAAGGCGCCTTTCTTCACAGTTTGGGAACTTACTGGTAGTAAACGCCACTCCATAGAAGCGGTGACCGGTTACCATAGAGACCGCGTCGGGGTGGGCGGAGCGTCGCTTCTGAGCTGTGCCACGGCCACATCAGCTCGGCCAGAAACGCGAACACGTCGGAACAGTGACTTCCGGCGGAAGAAGAAGCCGGTCCGGAGTTCTGGCCGACAGCAGGCGAGGAGTGGGTAGCAGCGCCTATGTGAAGTTAGGTAGGTCTGATGTCGTATAAAGCGCGGAGAGGGTGCCCGCCAATGGCTGGGTGGGTAAAGCCGACTGTGAATGGAGAAGATTCCCAAGTCCCGAGCTTGAGGAGGCCCCGGCTGTTTCGTTAAGTGTATATAGCTGTGGGAAGAGGTTGCCTGATTTCTGGGGCTCCTGGTAGGGTCTCTCTTCTGGAGCGTGGAAGACTGGGGCATCCTCGCGTAGAGAGTTTCACTCTGTCTTTGCGAGGTCTCAGCGCCTCTCCAATAACAGGGGACTCTTGTTCTCTACCAGCTGGTGCTGACGTTATTTCCCATATCATGCTCTCCAGACAATCTGGAGGAAAAGCAAACGAGAAACTTTCAGAAGGAATGCCCCCAAATTTATTTTAATTCTTTGATGTTCTGTTTTGCTTTTTTTTTATTCGTTCATTTTGTAAATATTCATTAAGCTCCTCCAGCGTGTTTAGTGGGTGCTTACTTGTGTGCCAGTTTTATCATAAGACTAGCAGAAATACCTTCTTAGAGGTTCATACACCACCTGGTTCATTATAAAATTCTTTTTTTTAATGCTGTTCATTAATTAAAGTATAAATATATATCGTGAAATACCTAACACGTTTTCCATACTTGTCGGTACACTTATACCTGGAATTCTTGGGGCATTTTAAATGAAAATCTGTGCTTCCTCAGGTTTGCATTATAATCATGATTTACTCGACTAAATACTAAAGAATTTACAAGGGCAGTACTTAATTTTTTCTTAGATACATGGCAAACTGTGATGAATTGTCATTAATATTTCTATTCAGCTAATCTGAGAAGGCCCACTTCTGGTTCCATGGATGATGGCGGTTGAGCAGATGCCAAAAAAGGATTGGTACAGCATCCTGGGAGCAGACCCATCTGCAAATATATCAGACCTAAAACAAAAATATCAAAAACTCATATTAATGGTAAGTCTTTTCTTTCAGATTTTAAATCATGAGGGGAAAAAAATCAATTTTTATATGAAACCACAAATTTAGGTTTCCAGAAAATAGGATACCAGTGGCAGGAATCCAGGTATTAATTTGATTTAATTGAACATTTCAGTAATATTGCAGAAAAACTTGATTTGAGGTGGAAAAGCATGGTTAGGAGCAGGAGATCTGAGTCAGGCTGCTTGAGTTAGAATCTTGAGTCCATCTTTATCTGTGAGAATTTGGACAAGTTACTTTTTCTTATATGTGCCAAGGGAGGATTAAATGAAATAATCCATGTAAAATATTTAGAAGTGTTGTTACATAATAAACAACAGTAGCTACTAGCCACATGTGGCTGTTGATTACTTGAAGTGTGGCTAGCCTGACTTGAGATGGACTGTAAGGGTAAAATATACACTGGATTTTAAAGACAGTATTTAAAAGGAATTAAAATAATTTAACAATTTTTATGTTGATTATGTTGATTAAAGTTCACTGGTTTTATTTTTCCTCTACTGTGTCCATCTGCTGATAAACTTCTTAAAAGAATTCTTGATCTCTTACCTAATTTTCATATCTAGCATTTCTACTGGCTCCTTTTTTAAAGTTTCTATCTCTTTCTCATCTTTTTATACATACTGTCCACTGTTTCTACTATATCCTTTAATAAACTTATCACAGTTAAACTCCCTGTCTGATAATTCTTTGTAGTTAATAATCAAACAGTTTTTATGTGGATTATATATTGAAATGATGATATTTTGGATTACTGGCTATTTTGTGTTTTATATACATAATATGCATGCATGTATTTGCACATATCAAAGTTTGTTTCTCTTGCATTTTACTTTTTTAACATTGCATATGTAGCCGGCATTTATACTTACATTATATTTCTATTGGGTAATGCTGATTTAGACCATTTATACACTAATTATCAGTTGACTTTTTTTTTTTTTTTTTTTTTTTTTTGAGATGGAGTTTTACTCTTGTTGCCCAGGCTAGGGTGCAATGGTGCGATCTTGGCACACTGCAACCTCCGCCTCCCACTTTCAAAGGATTCTCCTGTCTCAGCCTCCCAAGTAGCTGGGATTAAGGCGCATGCCACCACGCCTGGCTAATTTTTATATTTTTAGTAGAGACAGGGTTTCATCATATTGGTCAGGCTGGTCTCGAACACCTGACCTCAAGTGATCCTCCCGCCTCAGCCTCCCAAAGTCCTGGTATTACAGGCATGAGCCACTGCACCCGGCCGACTCTTTTTTTTTTAAATGAATTGTAGTATTTGTAAATATATCTCTGAATTTTTATATTCATTTTTTCAATCTGTATTGTGATGCTTCTTAAGCCAATGTCTGTAATTCTATACCGACGTCCGGTTAACTCAGTTTATAAAGAGTAAAGAACCATTATTTATATAGAATTTGTTGTCTCTTTAGTTTATACCAGTTACATCAGTGTTGTTTTGCCAAAACTATTAATGTTCATTGTGAGAGACTAACTGTTTCATCATCAGGATTGTACTAATATTCTTACTTTAGGTAGTATGTTGGACTAAATGACCTTAAGGTACCTTTTGCCCCAGAAGTTTTAAAGTTTCTGTCAGCAGAATCAAGTAGACTTTATTGAAAAATATCCTAATATTAAACCATCCTTGTACCTCACTCAGTTAATTGGGAAATGAACCTGGAAAAGTAGACTGGATCATTCTGGTTCTTGTAGGCCATGCTGGCCTTTAATTGGCCACTGAGAAGCAGTCTGCACATAATATGTAGTATCTGTCAAACAGCAAAGTAGGTAAATCATTTCACATATGCGCTAACAATGTATCAGAGAATTCTGGTTGCTCTACAGCTTTGCCAATATTTGATGTTATTGGTCTCTTTCATTTTGGCTATTGGAGTTTTTGCAATTTTGCCACCATTGACATTTTGGGCAGGATAATTCTTTGTTATTTCGGCTGTCCTGTGCTTTGTAAGATGTGTGGCAGGATCCTAGATGCCAGTAACAACCAAAAATGCCGCCTGCATGTCAAAATTGCCACATCCCATGAGAATCACTGGACTACTCTACAGTGTCTGGTCATACCCCATTGTGGGGTTGTTGCTTTTTTAAAATTTATCTGATGACTAATGATGTTGAGCCCTTTTTAATGTGATAATTGGCCATTTGTATAATTTTCTTTTATGAAGTGTTTTTTTTTAAATTAAATATATTCTTGATTCTGTATATATGTTGTATATATTTTCTCCTAGTCTGTGATTTACCAGGTCATTTTCTTAATGGTGTCTTTTGATGCAGAGTTTTTTGTTTTGACAAAATATAATTTATCAAATGTGTGTTTTTATAGTTAATACTTTCCATCTTCTCTAAGGTTATGAGAATATTCTTCGATGTTTTCTTCTAGAAGTGGTCATTTGCTTTTACCTTTAGACTTATGATTTCTGTGTATAGCATGAGATGTGAGGTCATGTTTTTATTTTTCCTCAGTATATTCAGTTGTGCCAGCATCATTTGTTGAAAATTTTTTTCTCCATTGGACTGTCTTGGCAATATGAGTCTATTACTGGACTCTATTCTGTTTTATATGTTGTTTATCCTTTTACTAATACCTCCATCTTGATTACTGTAGATTTATAATCAGTCTCAAAGTCATTGTAAAGTTAGTTCTCTAATATTATCCTTCTTTTCCAGTTTATTTCGGTTATTCTAGTTTGCTTATATTTCCACAGAAATTTTAGAATCAGCTTGTAAATGTCTACCAAAAAAATCTTGCTTGAGTTTTCAACTGGGATTGCAATAATAGGTATCCACTTTGGTAGAATGGCATCTTAATAATATTGAGTCTTTGAATCTATGAACATGTATCCTTCTCCTTACTTAAGCCATCTTTCATTTCTCTCGTCAGTGTTTTATAATTTTCAGTGTAGAGGTCTCACATATCTTTTCTTGAATTTATTTCTAGGTATTTGGTTTTTGGTTCCATTATAAATGGTATTTTAAAAAATAATTCATTTTTCACTTGTTGATTGATAGTATATAAAATTATAGCTTATTTTTATATACTGGTCTCTTATCCTACAATCTAGGTAAATTTGCTTTTTAATTTTCATAGCTATTTTTGTCAATTTCTTAGAATTTTCTGCCAACACAATTATGTCATTTGCAGATAACGAGAGTTTTAATTCTGTCTTACCAATCTGTATGTCTTGTATTTCCTTTTCTTACGTTAAGGCACTAGCTGGTTGCTTCTATTAAAATGTTCAGTTGAAGTGTTAAGAGCAGGTATCCTTGCCTTGTTCCTGATTTTAAGAGGAAAACCTTCAATGTTTTACCAGTAAGTATGCTGTTAGGTGTATGTTTTTAAAGATGCCCTTTATCAGCTTGGGGAAATTCTTCCAATTAATACTTTGCTAAGAGTTTTTATGGTAAGTAGGTATTTAAATTTGTTAGATCCTTTTTTTTTTTGCATTTATTGAATTTTTGCATTTATTGATTTTTCTCATTTAATTTGTTAATGTGGTGAATCACGTAGATTTTTCTTAAGTTAAACCCACTTCTCATCCCTAGGATAAACAAACCACTTATCATGAAGCATTATTATATTTATACATTGAGGGATTCTAGTTGCTATTATTTTGTCATGGATTTTTATGTTTAATTTCATGCTGTATATTTGTCTGTAATTTTCTTTTCTCGTAATGTTTATGTCTAAATTTAGTATCATAGTTATGCTAGCCCCATAAAATGAATTGTGATTTCTGGCTTTATAGTGAGGAAGAGAGGTGGAGGGCTAACCATTTTTTTAGTCTTAACCAGTCTTTCTCTTGTTTAGTTTTGCCCCTCAACTCCACTCTCAAAGGTACTTAATGCCTTCCGTTCCTCAATTTCTCCTGCCTCTGTGTGAATGAACTCACTTCTTTGTCTCTTTCACTTTAGACTTAGGTTTCAGTTTTTGCAGGTACACTGAATTTGTTATCATTTATTGATGAATTTTCCATCTCTTCAAATTTTGGTGTCTTTTGCCTGTCTTTTCTCTCCTGTTCTTTTGCCTGTTTTTTTCTCTTCTCTCCTGTTTGTTCTTACACATTTATGCCTTTTTTTAAAAAATTATTATTCCTTTTCTGTTACTATCAAGGAATTTTCAGAGGGATGAAAGTGTGAGCCAGTTGCTGTGGTTCACACTTGTAATCTTAGCTACTTGTGAGGCTGAAGCAGGAGGATTGCTTGAGCCCAGGAGTTCAAGGCTACAGTGAGATATGATTGTGTCACTGCACGCCAGCCTGGGCGACAGAGCAAGACCCTCTCTCTAATTAATTTGCCATTTAGTGGAAGCCCTGAACTATTTTCTTTTCCCTTTAGAGGCCAGATACCCTTCTGTGGCCATATGCCTTTGCACTTGCACTCTGCCCATCCACTACCTCACCTGATTCTCACTCACTGTTTCAAAATGATCTTAGTTGTAATCGTGCCTCCCCAGCTCCCTGCCATGTCTTTAGTACATTTCATGATATTTCTCTAAGACAGGGGAGGTATAGCTGTTAGATAAGGAGAATGAGGGTAGGTGGACTGTAATAAAAGGTTGAAATTTTTTCTTCTGCTTTTCTTTTAGAAGATGAGAGAGACTTGAACATGTTTACACTGTATGGGAAGTGGCCACGGAAAAGCTTGAGATTGAAGTTATAGGAGAGTTTGAATAATTAACAAAAGCAGAGAGGAATAGGATCTGAATCATAGGTAGAAGGATTAGCTTTAGGTAAGAGATAGGAGGGACCTGTCTTCATTGTTACAGGAAGGAAGGAAGGAAGAAAAGATAGTTGCAATAGCCGGTTTATTTGTAGGTTTGGTAGCGGAAAGTTGATGAGCTCTCATTTGGTACCTTCTTTTTATTCTCTGTGAAGTAGAAGACAAAGTTATCTGTTGAGAAGGGTGAGAGATGAAGTGAAGCAGCAAATTACAGGAGAGAGAATTTCAACTAGCATTATTCTGGGAAGGCTCCTTGTAGATAGCTATGTATACTATGGGAGCAAGAAGTCTCAGCTAACAACCTGGCAGCAGGCAACAAGAGACAATACATCTGATATAATTTGGCTGTGTCCCCACCTAAATCTCATCTTGAATTGTAGCTCTCATAGTTCCCATGTGTTGTGGGAGGGACCCAGTGGGAGATAATTGAATCATGGGGTGGCGAGGAGGGGGTTCCCCCATATTGTTCTCCTCATGGTAGTGAATAAGTCTCACAAGATTTGATGATTTTATAAGGGGTTTCCCCTTTCGCTTGGCTCTTATTCTCTCTTGCCTGCTGCCATGTAAGACATGCTTTTCGCCTTCTGCCATGATTGCGAGGCCTCCCCAGCCGTGTGGAACTTTGAACCATTAAACCTGTTTTTCTTTATAAATTGCTCAGTCCCGGGTATATCTTTATCTGCAGTGTGAAAATGGATTAATACACCATCTCATAGCATTTTGCCCTTCTTTTTTCTTGGTTGATGTATCAGTGGTCCTTATATTACAGTTCAGCGCAATAATTTATAATCATAATTATGGCCATGAGTTATGTTCAGTTAATTTTGTTTAAGAAGGCTAGGAAGTATAGAGTAGTAAGTGTATAATTAGTAGCACGTGTATTGTACTTAGCAGTTTACAAATGCTTTCACATCTGGTTTTATCTTCTGTAAGATAGGCTTTGTTACCCCTATGTTTGTACTTGAGAAAATGAAGGCTTACTTACAGTTAAGTGGTTTGTCAGAAACACAGAATTAGTAAGGGTTATGATCTAGGCTTGATCATGTATCCTCTGACTCTAGATTCTCTCGCATTATATCACACTTCTCATAATTGCCATCTAAAAGGGTTTACTGTTGTTTAAAGGCATAATTTTTATTTTTTTCTGGATTTCCATAGAACACCTCATTTATGCACAGTTAATTAAGTATTATGGAAGGTCAGACATAATTACTACTGTCTTGTAATTTTGAAAGGATCTAGATTTTTTATGGCTTATGAAGTGAAATTTAGTTTTCTTACTCTTTTTGCATAAGTTTAGACTTTCTAATAGATTTAAGGAGAAAATTATAAGGGAAAAGCATATTATTTATAATGTTTATCAGATTTTTAAAAACAAAAACAGGCTTTTAAAGTTCGTATTCTTGTTTCCCAATTAGAACTATCACATTTTGTTAGTCTGTGTTTTTCAACAATGTCACAAAACAGTTGGAGAATAAAATTACATTTGACTAACAGCATTTTGTATCTAATTTTGTAAAAAGGCACACGTATTACATGTAATTTTCTAAGTTCAGAAGACTTTGAATTTAACACCTCCTGCACAATTAGGTGTTTAGATAAAATATTGCTAAATTGTAGGCTGCTGAGTTTACAATACATATTGATTTAGTAAATACTGTTTCCTTATTTCAGTTTTTGTAAATGTAATGCTTACTCAGGGTCCTGATTCTGAAAAAATTCTTACTAATTGAGATATTTTAGAATACTTTAAAGATACATATTTACGTAAAGTGCAGAATTAGTTTTAAAGACATTCACATACCATACATATTACATATTATAGACATACATATTGGCCTGCCGTGTAATAGTTTACTATATAAAAAATAAAAGTAATTGAACCAACATTTTTCAGCACTGTTTTATTAATAGGGACTTTACTTATTAGTAAATCAATTGTGAATTGATTTTTAAAATTTTTTTTAGTTTTCTATTAAAAACAATTTGAATAGTAATCCATTGCTTTGAAATGGTCTAGGGTCCAGAATGATTAGTTATGTTATTCCTGTATTTTTTGCAGTTATGCATGTGAAAATTGCTATTTACTTAAGAGAAAGCTTCATCTCAAAAGCTTTGTCAAATTGAGAACTGGGGGTCTTTTCCCACTGATCCTGATAATATTACAGGATACTTCTCAGTTGGAAAAGAGTTATTGTGTTGGAAAATTATATGCTTCTGTTATAATATGTTCTATAATCTTGAAGAAAATCCATGTAATTTGAGTCAGGAGTGTGCAGGATGGTCTTGTTGTTAATGTTGGAAGGGTGTAAAATACCACTTAATACTTACGTGGGCATTCAGAGGGTCTCATTTGATTAGAAATGGTTATATATAGATTAGCTTTAAGCTAGTTATGTCATCCACTTTAATGTCTTGAAAAAGAAAGTAGAAAGGGGACCTGTACTATAGTCAGAAGAAAATTACCACGTTGGAAAAGAAGGGAGTGAAGAACAATTCTTTAAATAAGTCTTTTGAGTACATTACAAAGCAAAAGAGATCTTGATTACAGGAAAGGTACTTAGGCATTAAGAGAAATTTTGTGAAAAAAAATCTAGGAGTGTTGTAAGTAAAAATCTGGAAGATATAACTTGTCTTGTAGTTCACATTATAATTTCTGTTACCATAGTTAACTATTTAGCTGTCATCTAGGTATTATTAATATATAGAATGCATGATACGTAACAATAAATAGTTATGTCATAGGGAGACTCTATCATAAACAATTCTTTTTCGTGATAAAAGTGGTAGGAATAGCATTTTAAATGAATAACTTTAGCTAACATGTAGCACTGCGTATCAGATACTCTTGTAATCACTTCATGTGAATTATTCAACTCTGCAAAGTGCAATATCATTATTATTTCTAATATATAGATGGGTAAACCAAGGCTCAGAGATTAAGTAACATACTGACTAGCAGCAAGAAATTATGACACACTTTACATATACTTTGAAAACTGTATTAAAAAAAAGCAGGCAGTCAGTTACCTTTCCAGTGGTTTTTTTTTTAATATTCCTATCGCATAAATGCAGCAATAATAGATTATATCTTTAGAGAAAAGGTATTATTTATGTTAAAGGTACAGACTAGTGAAAAGTTAAGCGTGAGCTCTAGAGGGAGGGAAGGAAATTACACTAGAAACTTGGTGAAAAGTGTGAAAGGTGGCAGTGTGGTGTTGTGGAAACCTGAGTTCTTATCATGCCTGATTATTAGTTAATGACATTTACTTCCCCAATTCTTGAGGAATGTAAAAATATCTTAAGAAGTTCATTTTCTTTTATCTTAGCCATTTCCAGTAAAATTGTGCTAGGACAACTAAGGTGTGTCTTAACATACATAAACTGCATGGATCTGAGTTTCTTCATCTGTAAAAATGAGATGCTTATACTATGTTACTCTCTAAAGCCAGCTCTGGTATTTGTTCTTTTGTTTTTGTTTTTTTCTCTATTATATTTTCATTTGTCCTCTAGCTCAGGGGTCCCCAGTCCCCGCGCTGCAAACCAGTACTGGTCCATGGCCAGTTAGGAACCAGGCCATGCAGCAGGTGGTGCGGAGCCAGTGTGCGAGTGTTACCACCTGAGCTCTGCATCCTGTCAGATCCACTGTGGCACTGGGTTCTCATAGGAGCACAAACCTATTGTGAACTGTGCATGTGAGGGATGTAGGTCGCACATTCCTTATGAGAATCTAATTAATGCCTGATGAACTGAGGTGGAACAGTTTCATTCTGAAACCATACTCCCTACACCCCCATCCATGGAAAAATTGTTTTCCACAAAACTGGTCCCTGGTGCCAAAAAGGTTGGGGACCGCTGCTCTCGCTGACCCACCAAGTCTGAGAATTTTTTTCTTAATTTAACATACTGTAAGTAACTTTTGGCAACCCAAGATTGGTTTGTTGACTCATAATGGATGCAATTTAAACAGAACAATTAATTGAGACTGCAGTGGTAATCTGTCTCTCATTTGCCATGTTTTTAAGATGAAAAATATCCCCTTTATGGCTTGTTTAAAATGTCATCGTTGATAATGCTTTTAAGTTAGAAAATCTGAGTATAAATGCTCCACAGTTTCCTTTTACAGACAGTGAAAGAAATAAATCTTTTTTTTTTTCTTTTGAGACAGAGTCTCACCCTGTCGTCCAGGCTGGAGTGCAGTGGTGCGATCTAGTCTCACTGCAACCTCCACTTCCCAGGTTCAAGCGATTCTCCTCCCTCAGCCTCCCAAGTAGCTGGGATTACAGGCGCCCGCTACCACACTCAGCTAATTTTTTTTTCTTTTTTTGTATTTTTAGTAGAGACAGGGTTTCACCATGTTAGCCAAGCTGGTCTTGACCTCCTGACCTCAGGTGATCCACCCGCCTCAGCCTCCCAAAATGCTGGGATTATGGGCATGAGCCACTGTGCCCGGCTGAAAGAAATCTTAAAATAACTTTCTAATTATCATCTGACTTACCTAGCTGATAGGAAATCTATGAAGAGATGATTTAGGGCATTATTATATTTATCACATAGTCTAGCTTAAAAGAATTATAGCGTTTCAGAAACTGAAAGAATCTAGCTAAAAGAATCATAGAATGTCAAAAACTAAAGAAAGAGATTGAGGATGTGGAAGATGAGCACAGAAAAGTAGAACAAAGACACATAATAAATATTCAAAATCGAGTAACATGCAACGAACTTACAGACCAAAAATCATTTTCAACCAGTATTATTAAGCAAACATTAACATGGGAAAAGTGAAAGTTTTGTTTTAAAATATATTCACATTTAGAATTTCCTTATGATTTGGCGTATGTTATTTTCAGTTACGCCAAAATACAAAGACAGGAAAACATTTTTGTCAGTCCTTTCTGAAGGGATTAATATCCCACTTTTGTTAAATTTTTGGAGTTCTAGAAACTAGGGTGATAGTTGTTTTACTTTTTCTTTTATTTTTATAAAATAACTCGAACTTTATTATGTTTCTTATTAGGATGTATTTCTTTTAGGCATTTAAAAAATAAACTTTATTGAGGTATAATTTATATGCAATAAAGTGTACCTATTTTAGTACATTTCAGTGAGTCTTGACTACATGTATGTGTATAATCAACACCATATCAAGATATAGAACATTTTCATCTCAGAAAGTTCCTTTATGCTTCTCATTCTTCCCTGGGCAACCATGGATCTGCTTTCTGTTGCTATAGATTTCTTGAGCCATTATTTTAGGCTCTAAAAACATCTTGATGTTTTATTTGGCCTTTAATGAACCATATTAGTAAAGATTTTTAAAGAGAGATTAATTTATCCCTTCACCCACTCCCAAAGAGTAAATCTTATTATAGCACATTACATAGTATACTTTCAACCAAAATGTTTTGTAAGAAGTCTGATTAGTGCATTTGGGTATGTTTTATAAGAAGTCTGATTAGTGCATTCGGGTGTTATATGGGTTTTATATGATTAAAAGTAGTAACTATTACTTGTAAGGTATACATAAAATCATACCTCTTGAGACATGAAGCATCGTTAAAATTTGACTTCAAGTAAATCATAAATTTTTAGCTCACGAATCCCCTTTTACTGGTTAAGGTTATTTGTGTTTTGACTGATTTTTCCCTTATTTTCAAATTCACTCTTCTTAATAATTATAATAATTTGTATTACATATCTGTGCTTGAATTATTTTCTGTGTCACAAATACAATTAATGTTGTTGTGTCCATGTTATCTACAATTAAAGATCAAATAGATTCTTAAACTCAGTAATGGACTGTAAAGTCTCTTCTCATTCTGTTAAGATTTTGAAATTGACTGTAAATTGAGCATTGTTATTGGTGTGGTGTGTAGGATAAGTGTCTGGAAAAGACATATCTTTTTCCCTGAAGCAACTTAAACTAGCTATTCATTACTTTTTGGTTATCTCAAAAAAAAATTTTTTTTTTTTTTTTTGAGATGGAGTCTTGCTCTGTCACCCGAGCTGGAGTACAGGGATGTTATCTCAGCTCATTGCAACCTCCGCCTTCCCAGTTCAAGCAATTCTCCTGCTTCAGCTAACCCCAGTAGCTGAGATTACAGGCACATGCCACCATGCCTGGCTAAGTTTTGTATTTTTTAGTAGAGACGGGGTTTCACCATGTTCGCCAGGCTGGTCTCGAACTCCTGACCTCAGATGATCCGCCTGCCTCTGCCTCCCAAAGTGCTGGGATTACAGGTGTGAGCTACTACGCCTGGCTCTCAAAACATTTAAAAATACAAAATATAATTCTTACAATCCCTAAGGTAATCCAGAATATTTTTTTGAGAATTATACTTTTCAAATTAGTTAAATGTATATATTCGAATCTGTTTATGAGGATTGAAACAATGTGAGGGTGTCTTTAGTAATTCATTCATCCATTCACTCAGCATTTGTTAGGGTTAGTATATACTGTTTTTCTAGGAACTGTTTCCAGGTGCTGTGGATATGGCAGAGTTTATTTTAAGTACTGGTATCTGATGTAATAAATATTATGTACAGTATATAAATTCTAAAATGTGGTTTTATAGGGAGGCTGTATATATAGCACAGTAATTAAAAGTCATGGCTTTGGGCCTCACTTGTACCATTTATGATATGTGTGACCTAGGAAGAATGACTTACCTCTCTTAGACTCAGTTTCCTTATCTGCAAAAATCAACACAATAATACCTACCTCAAGGGTTTCATAAAGACTAAATGAAAGAATGAATATAAAGCATTTAGCCAGTGTCTTGCATGTGATGCCTTATCATAATTTATCATCATCAGTAGAAATTATGTACAAGATGCATTTAAAGAATCATGCAGGGCCATATAAAAATACAGAATAATGACATTATACTAATTTAACTATTATTGTCCATCAAAACATTTAAAAATGGGAAAATTATATTTTGGATGTGTGGTTTTATCTGTTTATTATTGTATATGTAATGCAATTATATGTACATATTGTTGTATACAGTTGTTTTGAGATGGGAAAAAGCCAAAGTGTTTTCCCTACTCTCACACACCACTCAATACAGTACTTCTGACTGTAGGATTGTGCATGGTTTTCTCCCCACATGCCAAGCAGTTCTCCAGTGGACACCAATTGGGTGTCCTGTAATTCAGTTCTGACACTGTTTACCTGGAGTCAGTGTCAGATCCATAAGGGTTAAGGATTCATTACCATAAGACTCCCCTCCATGTTAGGTGTCAGATGCAAGCCCCAGGTTGTGATATGTGCCTCTGACTGACTGGCTGTAAATCTGGGTTCCCATGTTTCCTTCTTTGTTCTCAATTGATTTGCTGAAGCAGCTTACAGAACTCGGAAAATTTACTTGTATTTACATACTCATTACAAAGGATATTTTGAAGAATATAAATGAAGAGATCCATAGGGTGAGGTCTGTAGGGGTCCCCAGTGCAGAAGCTGTGGATTTGGAGTGCACTGCCCTTCTGGCACAGTGTGTTCTTTGTTAACCCACCTGGAGGTCACTGTACTCCATCCGTTTTAATGAGGGCTTTATTAGGTAGGCATACTTGATTAAATCAGTGGCTGCTGGTGATCTGCTCAACCATCAACCCCTCTCCACTTCCTGGAGGTTGAGGGCTGGGGCTGAAAGTCCCAACCCTCCAATCATGCTTTAGTCTTTCTGGTGACCAGCCACCATCCTGAAGCTGCCTAGGGGCCCCCAGCCACTAGTCATTCCATTAGCATACAAAAGATACTCTTCACTCTAGAGACTCCAAGGGTTTTAGGAGCTGTTTGCCAGGAACTAGGGGCAGAGACCAAATACATGTATTTCTCATATTATAATATTATAGGTTATATTCATGAAACTTCAGATACTGTACTTCATGGACAATTTAAAGATTTTCAAGAGTAGTTTTGATTACATGTAATTTTCACATTGTCTTTGGATCTGGACACCTATGAAAACTGTTCTTACTTTGTAAGTGTTCAGTTGCATGTTGGGAAGTTAGTGCTATTACCAGTTACAGGAATTGGAAAGCAAGGTTGCACAGAAAGTTTTGCTTGTAGTTTATGGAAAAGAAATGCCCCCCGGATTGCTGTATTGTGAGGAAAAAAGGGCAAGGGCCAGCATATGCCATAAGTGTGGGAACCACACCTGATGCAGCCTTTCGTCCTAATGTAACAGAATGTATCTCCTCTGCACAGCTAGGTGTGGGACTCCGTTTCAGCTTTTTTGTTTTCTGTTCTAATAATCTGTCCTTCTTCAGTCAGTCCCTCTATAATGTATGTAATTATCTTAAGCCAAATAGGGCTATCAGAACAAAAGTTCATTTCCAGAATAATTTCCAGAATAGGCAAAATACTCTCAGGGCAAAAACACCTTCAGTTCTTTGTCTTTGATTGTTTTTCCTTCAGTTTTGGCCTTACTATCTTGTCAACTCTTTGATGCTTTTACAGTGTTTTATAATGTATTTCATCTTCATTTTGTAGTTCTCAATGAAAAGAATAGACTAGCGCTACCCCCATTGTAAATAAGAAGCCCTCTTCTCATTTCTTCCTATTCAGTGGAGGAAGTCTACCTCCCATTAAGGCACAACTCAAAGAACTTCTTGAACTAATCATTGTAGTTACTCAGAAAGTCTCCCCACTTCTTAGATGTTCCATTGATACATCATAACTCTGTTATTCCACTGTCCATATCCTATCTTTACTCTAATTGCTTATGCCTGTGGCTCCCTCTCAGCTAGAAGTGAAGTTCTTGGAGGCAGGGATCCTGTCTTAGTTATTTTTGTATCCTTGGTAGCACCAACTTCATGGACTCAATATAATAGATTCTCAGTACATTCTTTGGTTGAATTGTGCTGGATTTTGCTGAAGGAGAATAAAAAGGTTAAGAAGGAAGTTGGCTCTGTTCATTTGGCCTCTCTATATGAGTTGCAGTACGGTTCTCCCTTTTCTATTATTCCTTACAGGTTCATTGATGATGTTACATAGCCCTTGACCCATGTGAACTGATGACAGAATAGAGCCACACAGCATGTGAAGTGATTTGACCTGTAGCAATCTTTGAACCAGTGTTTTGTCTACACCTATCCTCAGAGGCTATCCAGCTGTTAGATTTCATTTTTAATAATTCAGCCAAGAGTGTGGAACATTTTTCTCTTGAGATTTTCAATAGCTAGTCTGAAGATATGTTTTTGAGAGCTTCAAATAGTGTTCCAGAAGAGAATGTTAGAATCGGGAAGAATAAGCATATTAGATACTTAAAGGAAAGTATCTGAAAAAGAAAATAGAGAATATAAGCATATAATTTTCAGTTTACTAAAGAATACTGTTTTTAGGAATAATAGTCATGAAAATTATAAGGGAAAAAAAGAGTTTTTAAAAAGCCTCTGTTACCCAGTTTAATGCATCTTTTAGTTCAGACATGATTACTTCACAATCACAGTGACTTTTGCACACTATCTTGTAATTTTTAAAAAGTTTTAAACATTTATCACAAATTATTCTAGATTCTTCATATCGGGTTTTTAGAAAGTAAATATTAAAAGGAACTTCAGGTGGTGAAGCATTCAACTGGAGCAATTTATTATTACATAATAAAAAAGGGCCAAAAAACTGGTTATTCCAACCATGTTTTGTTTGAGCCATGATCTTCCCAGATACATGAGTAGATTTTAGAATCTACCCTTACAGTGACCTTTTTGATTTTACAACTCCTTCAAACTTTGGTGACTATCTAGATGTCCCTGACTTTTCAATGAATGCCATCTTATGCATGTACTACTGTAATGTGCCACAAAAGCATTTGAAGTAAATTATATATTAGATGATATCTGTTGGTTTGTTTTGTGTTAAACTGTATGAAGATCTTAGAAATGTAAAAATTTAATCACTTACTGTCCCACCATATGATTGACTCCAATCCCCCTGGGAGTTAAGTAAGAAAAATCTTGTAAATTAAATTATCATTAAAAGACTTGTTTCTTTTCTAAGTTAAGTAAACTAACACAAAGATCACTAAAAATATAAGGTTTCTTGAGTGTTCTTTTTTTCCTCCCTCTTTTGACAAGATTGTGAAAAGGTGATAGTAATAATGTAATATTATTAAGGCCCAATCCTAGAGAGGAAGCAGAGCAAGATGGCCGAATAGAAGCCTCCGGTGGTCATCCCCTCTGCAGGAACATCAAATTGAATAACTATATTAAGGAAGGAGGCATGGAGTAGGATAGGAAAGACAGTCTTTAATCACCTACACCATCTCTCCCCCATCCCCCTGCAGTGGCCACATGGCGTGGAAAGAGAATCCGTGTGCTTGGGGAAGGGAGAGCACCATGCTCGTAGGATGTTGCATCCACAGTGCTGCTGTGTCACAGCGGAAAGCAACACTTGGCAGAACTCAACCAGCACCCACAAAGAGCATTTAGATCAGCCCTAGACAGAGGCAAGTTTTCTATCCCAGAGGTCTGAATCTGAGTTCCAATTCCAGCAAACCCTGCCACCATGAGCTAAAGTTCTCTGGGGTCATAAGTAAACTTGAAAGGCAGTCTAGGCCACAAGGGTTGTAATTCCTGGACACGTGTTATGCTGGGCTCAGAGCCAGTTGACTTGGGGTCCACGTGACCTGATGAGATACCAGCTAGGGTGGCCCAGGGAGTACTTGCATCAACCCTCCCCCAACCCTAGGCAATGCAGCTTACAACTCTGGGAGAGATTCCTTCCTTCTGCTTGAGATGAAGATAGTAGAGAGTAAAGGCAACTATGTCTGGCAACTTGGATGCCAGCTCAGCCACAGTAGAATAGGGTATCAGGCAGAGTCCTGAGGCCCCCCATTCTAGGCTGTAGCTCCTAGACTACATTTCTAGACACACCATGAGCCAGAGGGGAACCTTCTGCCTTGAAGGGAAGGATCCAGTTCTAGCAGGATTCATCACCAGCTGACTAAAGAGATGTTGGGCCTTGAACATCACTGGTACCCAGGCAGTACTTGCTGTGGGCCTTGGGTAAGACGCAGGGCTGTGCTGGCTTCAGATGTGACCCACCACATTTTCAGCTATGGTGGCCATGGAGAGAGACTCCTGCAGAGGAAAGGAGAGAGACAAGTAAAGGGACTTTGTTTTGTACCTTGGATACCAGCTTCGCTACAGTGGGGTAGAGCACTAAGTGGGTTCCTGGCATCCCCAGCTCCAGACTGTGGCTCCTGAACAACATCACTGGACCTTCCCTGGGCCAGGAGGAGCCCACTGCCCTGAAGGGAGAGACCCCGGGCTGGCAGCATTCACCCCAAGCTGACTGAAGAGTCTGTAGGCTTTGAGTGAACATCAGTGGTAGCCAGGCAGTACTTGCTGCAGGCCTGGGATGGTGGTGACCATAGGGGAGAGACTCCTTCTGCATGAGGAAAAGAGAGGAAAAAGTGGGAAAGACATTGTCTTGTGGCTTGGGTGCCAGCTCAGCTACAGTACAATAGAGCACCAGATAGACTCCTACGATTCCAACTCCGGGCCCTGGTCCCAGATAGCATCTCTGGGTTTGCCCAGGGCCAGGGGGATCTTACTGTCCTGAAGGGAAGGACAGAAGCCTGGCTGAATTCAACACCTGCTAATTATAGAGCACTGCGACCTTGAGTGAACATAGGTAGGTAGCCAGGTAGTGGTCACTGTGGGCCTTTGGGCAAGAACCAGTGCGGTGGTGGCTTCAAGTCTGAGCCACCACAGTCCCAGTGGTGATGGCCACAGAGGTGCTTGTGTTACCCCTTCCCCAGCTCCAGGCAGCTTAGCACAGAGAGAGAGAGACTGTATTTGGGGGAAAATAAGGGAAGAGTACAAGAGCCTGGCTAGTAATCCAGGGAATTCTCCCAGATCTTACCCAAGATCACCAAGGCAGTAACTCTACAAGTCTGTAAGAGCCACAGCATTACTGGGCTTGGGATGCCCTCTAATGAAGATATACGAGCAGTGACCAAAGACTTAGATTACAACACACAAGTCTCTCTGAATACTTGGAATGCCTTCCCAAGAAGGACAGGCATAAACAAGCACAGACTACAAAGACTGCAATAAATTCCTAATTCTTCAATGCCCAGGCACCAGTGAACATCCACAAGCATCAAGACCATCCAGGAAAACACGACCTCACCAAACAAACTAAATAAGGCAACAGTGGCCAATGCCAAAGAGATAGAGATATGTGACCTTACAAATAGAGAATTCAAAATAGGTGTTTTGAGTGAAATTTAAGATAACGCAGAGAAGCCTTTCAAAATCCTATCAAATAAATTTAACAGAAAGATGGAAATAATTAAAATGAATCAAGCAGATATTTTGGAGCTGACAAATGGAATTCATATCCTGAAGAATTCATCAGCATATCTTAACAGCAGAATTGATCAAGCAGAATAAAGAATTAGTGAGCTTGAAGACAGGCTCCTTGAAAATACAGTCACAAGGGACAAAAGAAAAAAAAATAAAAAAAGAAGGAAGCATGCCTACAAGACCTAGAAAATAGCCTCAGTAGGGCAAATCTAAGAGTTATTAAACTTAAAGTGGAGGTAGAGAGAGAGAGGCGTAGAAAGTTTATTCAGATGGTTAATAACAGAGAACTTCTCAAACCTAGAGGAAGATATCAATATTCAAGTACAAGAAGGTTATAGAACACCAAGCAGATTTAACCGAAATAAGACTACCTCAAGATATTTAATAATCAGATTCCCAAAGGTCAAGGACAAAGAGAGGATCCTAAAAGCAGCAAGAGAAAAGAATCAAATAGCATGCAAAGGAGCTCTAATGTGTCTGGCACCAGCCTTCCCAGTGGAAACCTTACAGGCCAGGAAAGAGTAGCATGACATATTTAAAGTGCTGAAGGAAAAAAATCTTATTCTAGAATAGTATATCCAGCAAAAAATATCCTTCAAATATGAAGGAGAAATAAAGACTTTTCCAGACAAATACAAGCTGAGGGAGTTCATCAACCAGACCTGTCCTACAAGAAATACTAAAGGTACTTCCTCTGTCTGAAAGAAAAGTACATTAATGAGCAATAAGAAACCGTCTGAAGGTACAAAATTCACCGTTAACGATAAGTACACAGAAAAACTCATAACACTGTAGTTGTGGTAGGTAAACTACTTGTATCCTGAGAAGAGAGAGTAAATGATGAACCTATAAAAAGTAATTGCTACAATAACACTTCAAGAAATAGGCAGTATAATAAGATATAAAATAGAAACAAACATTTAAAAAGCAGGAGGATGAAGTAAAAGTTCAGAGTTTTTATTAGTTATCTCTTTGCTTGTTAGTTTATGCAATCAGTGTTGTCATCAGTTTAAAATAATAGGTTGTAAGATAGTATTTGCAAACCTCATGATAACCTCAAATCAAAAAACATACAATGGCTACACAAAAAATAAAAAGCAAAAATTAAAACATACCACCGGAGAAAATCACCTTCACTGTAAGGAAGACAGGAAGGAAGGAAAGAAGAGAAAACCACAAAACAACCAGAAAACAGATAACAAAATGGCAGGAGTAAGTCCTTACTTATCAATAATAACATTGAATGTAAATGGACTAAACTCTCCAAAACGAAATACTGGCTGAATGAATTAGAAAAAACAAGACCCAACCATCTGTTGCCTACAAGAAACCCACTTCACCTATAGAGAAACACATAGACTTAAAGGGATGTAGAAATACATTCCATGCAAATTGAAACAAACAAACAAAAAAAGAGTAAAAGGAGCTATACTTATATCAAACAAAATAGATTTCAAGAAAAAAACTATAAAAAGAGACAAGGTCATATAGTGATAAAGGAGTTAATGCAGCAAGATGATATAACAATTGTAAATACATATACACCAAATAGATATCTAGAGCAGCCAGATATATAAAGCAAACATTATTAGAGCTAAAGAGAGAGGTAGAACCCAATACAGTAATAGCTGGAGACTTCAACATCCCACTTTCATCATTGGACAGATCTTCCAGACAGAAAATTAACAAACATCAGACTTAATCAGCACCTATAGACCAAATGGACCTACCTGATAGATATTTACTGAACATTTCATCTAACAGCTGCAGAATAAATATTCTTCTCATCAGCACATGTATCATTCTCCAAGACAGACAATATGTTAGGTCACAAAACAATTTTTTAAAATTCAAACAAGTCTAAATAATATCAAGCATATTCTCCAGCCACAATGGAGTAAAACTAGAAATCAATAACAAGGAATTTTGGAAACTATATAAATACATGGAAATTAAACAACATACTCCTGAATGATCAGTGGGTCAATGAAGAAATTAAGAAGGAAATTGAAAAATTTCTTGAAACAAATGTTAAAAGGAAACACAACATACCAAAACCTATGGAATAAAGCAAAAGCAGTACTAAGAGGGAAGTTTATAGCAATAGGTGCCCACATGAAAAAAGGAGAACCAAAACCTGAACAGACCAATAATAAGTAACGAGATCGAAGATGTAATAAAATCAAGCTGGGCACAGTGGCTCACGCCTGTAATCCTAGCCACCAGGCCAATGCGGGTGGATCACCTGAGGTCAGGAGTTGGAGACCCACCTGGCCAACATGGCGGAACCCTGTCTCTACTAAATATACAAAAATCAGCCAGGCATGATGGCATGCACCTGTAATCTCAGCTAGTAGGGGGGCTGAGGCAGGAGAATTGCTTGAACCCGGGAGGTGGAGGTGGCAATGAACTGAGATCGTGCCACTACACGCCAGCCTGGGTGACAGAGCAAGACTCTATCTCAAAAAAAAAAAAAAAAAAAAAAAAATTAAAGGCCGGGTGCGGTGGCTCATGCCTGTAATCCCAACACTTTGGGAGGGCAAGGGGAGCGGATCACAAGGTCAAGAGATCGAGACCTTCCTAGCCATTATAGTGAAACCTTGTCTCTACTAAAAATACAAAAATTAGCTGGGCCTGGTGGCGCATGCCTGTAGTCCCAGCTACATGGGAGGCTGAGGCAGGAGAATTGCTTGAACCTGGGAGGTGGAGGTTGCAGTGAGCCAAGATCGCACCACTGCACTCCAGCCTGGTTGCCAGAGTGAGATTCCATCTTAAAAAAAAAAAAAAAAAAAAAGTAATCTCCCAGTAAAGAAAAGCCCAGCACCCAATGGATTCACTGCCGAATTCTACCAAACATTTAAAGAACTAATACCAATCCTACTACACTATTCTGAAAAATAGAGGAAGAGAAAATACTTCAAAATTCGTTCTACAAGGCCATTATTACCCTGATACCAAAACCAGACAAAGACACATCAAAAAAGGAAAACATAGGCCAATATTTCTGATGAGTATTGACGTAAAAGTCCTCAACAGAATACTAGCAAACCAGATTCAAAAGATCATTCTTCGTGACCAAGTGGGATTTATCCCTCGGATGCAAGGATGGTTCAGCATACATAGATCAATCAATGTGATCCATCTTATCAACAGAATGAAGAATAAAAGCCATATAATCATTTCAATTGATACTGAAAAAGTGTTTGATGAAGTTCAACATCATATCATGACAAAAACCCTTGAGAAACTGGTTATGGAAGGAACATACCTGAACATCATAAACGCCATATAGGACAAACCCACAGCTAGTATTATATTGAATAGGGAAAAACTGAAAGGCTTTCCTCTAAGATCTGGAACATGACAAAGATCCCCACTGTCATTACTGTTATTAAGCATAGTACTGGAAGTCCTAGTTAGAGCAAACTACCCATCTGACAAGGGGTTAATAACCAGAATGTATAAGGAGCTTAAACAATAGGGAAAAAATGTGATTTTAAAATGGGCAAAAAACTTAATAGACATTTCTTCAAAGAAGATGTACAAATGGCAAACAGGTGTATGAAAAGTTGTTCAATCAACATCATTGATCATCAGTGAAATAAAAATCAAAACTATGAAGTGATGTCATCCCACCCCAGTTAAAATGGCTTCTATTAAAAAGACAATAACAAATGCTGGCGAGGAGGTGGAGAAAAGGGAAACCTTGTACACAGTTGATGGGAATTAAATTAGTGCAACCAGTATGGAGAACAGTTTGGAGGTTCCTCAAAAAACTTAAAGTAGAACCACCATATGATCCAGCAAATCCCACTGCTAGATATACTCCAGAAAAAGGAAATTAGTATATCAAAGAGCTATCTGCACTCCCATGTTTATGACCCCACTATTCACAATAGCCAAGATTTGGAAGCAACTTAAGTGTACATCAACAGACAAATGGATTAAAAAATGTATATATACACAACGGAGTCCTATTCAGCCATAAAAAGTGAGATCCTGTCATTTGCAACAACATGCATGGAAAGAAGAGGACATTATATTAAGTGAAATAAGCCAGGCAGAGAAATACAAACTTTACATGTTTTTACTTATTTGTGGGAACTAAAATTAAAACAATTGAGCTCATGGAGATAGAGAATAGTATAATGGTTACCAGAGGCTGGAGAGGGTAGATAGGTGGGGGAGAGGGCAGTGGAGATGGTTAATGGTTCCAAAAATAGAGCTAGATAGAATGAGTAAGATGTATTTGATAGCACAACAGGGTGACTGCAGTCAACAATAATTTATTGTGCATTTAAAAATAACTAAAAGAGTTTAATTGGATTGTTTGTAACATAAAGGATAAATGCTTGAGGTGATGGTTACCCCATTTACCCTGCTGTGACTATTATGTGTTGTGTGCCGGTATCACAATACCGTATGTAATCCATAAATATATAAACCTAGTATGTACTCATAAAAATTAAATATATACCAAGTCATAAGGCCCACTCCTAGTAGTTTTAGACCCAGAGAAATAAAGTCTACATACCAAGTGCTTGTGTATTTAAACATTATCAATCAAGGTAATATTAAATAAATATGTTGATATTCTATCTTAAAAATATTTTTTCCTTACAAATATACCTTCATATAGACCTGGAAGACCAGGATTAAATTTAGAATTCTGTGAGGCAGGGCCTTTCAAGGGTGATTAGATCATGAGGGTGGGGCCCTTGTGAATGAGATTAATGCCCTTATATAAGAGACACCAGAGAAATCCCTCACAATTTTCTTTTTTTTTTTTTTTTTTGAGACGGAGTCTTGCTCCGTCACCCAGGCTTGAGCACAATGGTGTGATCTCAGCTCATTGCAACCTCTGCCTCCCAGGTTCAAGAGATTCTCCCACCTCAGCCTCCCGACGGGGTTTCACCATGTCAGCCAGCCTGGTCTCAAACTTCTGACCTCAGGTGATCTGCCCACCTTGGCCTCTGAAAGTGTTGGGATTAAAGGTGTGAGCCACTGTGCCACGCCTCCCTTACTTCTTTCACAATGTGAGGACAGAGTAAGCCATCTATGAAGCAGGCCCTCACCAGACAATAAATCTGCTAGTGCCTTGATTCAGGCAATAAATCTTTGTTGTTTAAGCAACCCAGTCTATGGTTTTTATGTTGTAGTAGTCCAAATGGACTAAGACAGAGCCCTTCGGCTTCTATGCCCGAATACAGCAGTACAGAGACAGCTACCACTTATCCTACCTTGCTTCTCTTTCTACCCCTAACCAGAGATATAAGCTTCCTCTTGACTTCAGGTTGTTTGGGCAGGGGATTCTTGTGTCCTGAGCCCCTACAAGGAGGAGTGAAACATAACCTATAATGGGGCACATAGGAGCCTTATATGCAGATCCTCTTAGCTAAGGACGTGGGGTATGGCAATAGAGAAGAGACCAAGAGCACTCTCTAAAAGCAGGCAAGGTGTGCTGTGGTTTGAATATTTGTCCTGTCTAAAACTCATGTTGATATTTAATCACTGTTGTAATGGTGTTAAGTGGTAGGAGTTTTATGGGGTGATTAGCCGTGAGGGCTCCACCCTCATGGGTAGGATTGGGGCCATTAGAAAAGGGCAAGTTCAGTTCCCTCTTACTCTCTCTTGGCCCATATCCCTGCTATGTGAAGATCCAGCATAACCCTCCTCTTCAGAGGATGCAGCGTGCATGGTGTCATCTCGGAAGCAGAGATACTGGGCTCTGACCTGCTTGTACCTTGATCTTGGACTTCACAGCCTCCAGAACTGTGAGCCAATAAATTTCTGTTTTTTATAAATTACCCAGTCTCAGATATTTTGTTATAGCAGCATAAAGTAGACTAAGACAAGGTGTAAATTAATTGTAATATATATTTATATTATTGTACCATCTATTCTGGTTATTTGCTGTAATTATGTTCTTCAAAGTTGCCACAAACACTGAATTAGCAAATACTGAAACAATGATCCTAGGGGAAATGTAGGGTTACATTCCTGAGAGCCTCTGCTCACAACAGTTTCCTCAAGTGATCAATAAAAGACCTTGTTTTATGTTTGTTTTTGTTTAAAACATGTTATTTAATATATATTGTTGATTTATTTAACATTAAACTTAGGGCCAACAGCACTGTAACTCATGCCTGAGTGACACTTACCTAAGCATATGTGTTTTCCCCATAAGGCACATCATGGGATTCTTGCTCTTAGGAACACTAACCAACACTTACTACACTAATTGGGAGCCATTTGAAACGGCAAAATTGCCAACAAAAAGTACAAAAATGCAAAAATCATGGCACTAAATAGACTGTGAAAAGGATACTTGCAGTATGAGAGCTGAAAGAAGGAGGCATAGCATACCTTGCTTAATTTCAGCTGGGAATATGCATGTCAAGTGACTCAAGTTTTTCACCACTCTGCACATGTCACCAATGACCAAGAAAGCATTGCTAGTATTGATTTGGGGGTTACAAATAAATTTTAGGAAGTAGATGAATTTGCAAATGTGGAATCCGTGATTAACGAGGTTCAACTAATTATATTAGAGGGCTTGCTATGATGGCCCTCCTCTTCCACCACACTGTTTTTTTTTCATAATGCAGATGTTTGATATTTATAAAATAAAAACCCAAAATACCATTGCACTCTGAAGTTAAAAAAAAGTTTCTAAACAACTCTTGACTCAAAAGAAAAATATAAAATAAAAGGAACCATATTTAACAAATATTATGTTAGAATCTATGAAATACAGCTAAAATAATTATCAAATACAATTTATAGTATTAAATACTTATGTAAATAAGGAGAAAAAAATAAATGAATTAAACACCCAGGTAAAAAGTTAGGAAAAGGAAAATAGAGTAAATCAAAAGAAAGCAGAAGGGAGGAATTGATATGAAGGTAAAAGCAAAAATCATGCATTAAAATACAAAAAAAAGTAGAACAAACAAAAAGCTGTTTTGTTTTGTATTGTTATAACATTATTGCAGGTTACATTGCATGTTACAGGGGTTTGATGTATAGATTATTTTGTCACTCAGGTGATAAGCATAGTACCCCCAATTGGTAATTTGTTGATCCTCACCCTCTTCCCACCCTCCACTCTCAAGTAGGAACTGGTGTCTATTGTTCCCTTCTTTGTGTCCATGTGTACTCAGTGTTTAGCTCCACCTTAATAAATGAGAACATGCAGTACTTGGTTTTCTGTTCTTGTATTAGTGCACTTAGGAGAGTGACCTCCATCTCCATTCATGTTGCTGGAAAGGAATGATCTCATTCTTTTTTTTATGGCTACATAGTATTCCATGTTGTGTTAATATATGTACGACATTTTGTTTATCCAGCCTAACGTTGATGGGCATTTAGGTTGATTCCTTGTCTTTACTATTGTGAGTAGTGCTGTAATGAACATACACATCCATGTCCTATGTGTCTTTGTGGTGTAAGGATTTATAGTCCATTGGTTTTATACCCAATAATGGGATTGCTGGTCGAATGGTAGTTCTGTTTTAAGTTGTTTGAGGAACCACCAAACTGCTTTCCACAGTAGCTGAACTTATTTGCATTCCCACTAGCAGTGTATAAGCATCCATTATTTTTTTACCTTTAAATGATAGTCATTCTGACTGTATACCCCAATTTTTAAAAAATTTAAATTTTGTTCAAAATATATTGACTCATAATGTGTTATTTGATTTTTACAAAACACTGTGAAGTATATGGACATATTTTTTATTCATTGACTAAATATTAAGGGTCTTGTAACGTGTCAGGCACTGTGCTAGGTGCTATGGATTTAGTGGTGAATGTGGACAAAGGTCCTTACTCTCATGAGTAGCTTATAGTTTGGCAAATATTCTTTTCATTTTTCAAACAAGGAAATTTTATACAGTTGAATAACTTTTCTGGGATCACAAGATTTGTAATAACAGAACCAGAATCAAAACTCAGTTTTTAGTATTTTAAAAATCAGTGTTGCTCCAGTTATCTCTTGTATCTTTAATTTCCCCTTTCCATTAGCTTTTTCCACTCATCCAGTAAAAGCTCTTCAAAAAATTCTTCATTGACCTTGGTTCTTTGAACTGTCACTCCTTTCTTCTTGCCAAACATTAATTGTCTACTATCCATTGGCTTCTCAGCCCACTCCATTTCACCACTGACAGTCTTCTAAACGGTGACTACCGAAGTGGCCAGTGTTCCTTTTTTGCCAAATGTAGTGGATTTACTGTGACATCTGATACTGTTGTAAGTCTTGAATTTTGAAATTTCTTCCTCTCTGGGCAGGAGCATGTCTTTCCTGATTATCTTCTTGCTTGTCTGACCACTGCTCTATTTTCTTTTCCAGGATCTATTCCTCTATGTGATATAAATGTCACTGTGCTTCTGAGTTTTATTTGACCCTCTTCACTTACAAGGAAATCAAGGATTCTTCATCTGAGGCTCAGGGGACTTTGGAGGTCGGTTAGCCCCTCAATTATATGCAAATTTTTATAAGATTCTTAGAGGAGTTCATAACTCAAAAAGGTTAAGACAGACTGCTCTCTGTGTATTCCTTTAGCTTTATCTGCTGCATGAGTGACTTCCAAATTTATGTCCCCTGCTTCCTATGTTTCCCCTTGTCTGACTCCCGCCTTTGATCTTCAGCAGCCTTAGTTTAGCATAGTTCCTCAGGAGGGCTACAGTAGCACAGTAGTTTTTTTATTGCCAATCTCCCTATCTATCCTCTTACCCATTCCATCCTACTATCAGTTTAGAATGTTTTTGTCTTTGAAACAAAAACATGATTATGTCCCTATCATGAAAATAATGTGGAGTTTTAATTAGGAACAAATCCACATTTCTTGGCATACTAAAAAACTCTCTATGATTTGACCCCAGTCTAGCTTTTCAACTTCATCTCCCTTTTCCCTATCCAACCATTCTTTCACTCATTCTTGGTCTGACTTACAGTTCTGCTTTTCGTAACTCTAATACCCATTTTAGTACTTTCTTGCCTTGTATTTGCTACTTCCCTCTCCCTGGAATACCTTTCCTTCCCAATCCTACACAGTTTCTCCATAGCCAACTCTATGCATCCTTCAAAACCTAGTCATATATCACCTTTATTATAAAACCTTCCCCAACTTATCCAAGTGAAAACTTTCTCATGCTGTCATCTTATTCATGCATCTATCCTTCCCAATGCATTATAATAAATTGTTGGCATGCCTACTCTTTACCACTAGACTGTGAGTCCCTCAAGGATAGGGATCCCTGTTTATTCATCATGGTATCTTCATTGGCTGGCACAATGTCTGGCTTGTTGTAAGGTAGTAAATAATTTTTTTTGATGGATAAACATTTTTACGATGCCAGTTTTACACGTGGGTTATATTTTCTCTGAAGCACAAAACCTTAAAAGAGTTTAAAAACATTTTAAAAACCATGTTTCATTTGTTAACTTGCATAAAAGATCAATGAATCGTTGACTGCTTCTTTAGGCAATATTTTACTAAGCAATAGGTGGCAGTAGTGTGTTGTACTTGACTTTACCTTTGTGATTTTTTTTTTTTTTTTCAGCTTTCATAATCTTAATGCAGTGTCAAAGTGTAAAGGACACAATTGCAGTACTCTGATACCTAACTTTTTGTAACATGATCATGTTTTAAGCAAGTGAGCATCTCATAGAAAATAAAGCAAAACAACAACAAAACACAGCCAAAGTCAGTCAATGTGCATCTCTTGCCTGTCTAAACTATATTCAGATTCATTAGAGAATTACAACTGCACGGTCTTAACAGCATTTCCTCACCAACTGTTTAACAGCTGCTTCAAAATAACAGTGATTTGCAATAATGAAAATCAAAAATTATCTCAGAGGATATGTGTTTCTTTTTTTTTTTTATTTTCCCCCGAGATGGAGTCTTGCTCTGTTGCCCAGGCTGGTGCGATCTCAGCTCACTGCAACCTCTGCCTCCTGGGTTCAAGTGATTCTCCTGCCTCAGCCTCCCGAGTAGTTGAGATTACAGGAGCGTGCCACCATGCCCAGCTAATTTTTGTATTCTCAGTAGAGATGGGATTTCATCATGTTGGCCAGGCTGGTCTCGAACTCTTGACCTCATGATCCTCCTGCCTCGGCCTCCCAAAGTGCTAGGATTATAGGCGTGAGCCACCACGCCTGGCCCAATATGTATTTCTTGGTATCCTAAGAAGCCTACTTAGGCCTTTATTTCAAAAATAGTGTATTAAGTTCATTGACTTTAACTACAGTTATTAAATGCTTTATTTTTCTTCTTTTACTCTTTTTTTTTTCCCTGTCAGTATTAAGGTCACCTATCTTGTTTATTGAGCTTCATTTAGTTGACTTTCTCTCATCATTAGGTATTTAGAATTAAGGATTGTTACCACCTCTCCAGCCTTATGCATGTAATCCCATCATTAATTTTGAACACCTATATATGAGAATGTTACATACCTGTATACCTATATATGTTAGTATATTTCATTTCACTTGTTGTTTCCTGTAGCTTATAAAGTTAAATCAGTTGAAGTTTTATTTAAAGAATATTTGTACATTTTAGGTCCACAGGAACATTTCTGCAAATAAAAGAAATAGATAACTTTTATAGGAAACAGTTTTAGCATTGATTCAAATAAGAGGTAGATAAAGATAATCTGTGACATTTTCTTTCTCATATCTTGTTTACTGTTTTTTTCCCATCTCAGGGGTAAAGCACCCAAGGGAATTCAAAGCCACTGAACTAGTATCATTAATATGGCAGAATGATCAAGATCAATTAATATAAGAAAAGCATGAAAGCGTTGACAGAACACACTACTTAATTAGTACCTGATGGCCTTGGTGGCCAGAGCAAGAGCTCTGAGTTGTTGTAGGAGAGCCCCTCTATAGGATCTGTATGTGTACATCGCCACTCTTATTTAGCAGGGATGACTTTAGTTTGACATCAGTTTCTTGAGTCCTTAATTGTATAAAAAAACATCTTTTCCCTGAACCCAGAGAGTAGGTGAAGTCAGCAAGTACCCTCCCTACTGCTAATCGTCATCTGGGGAAATTGGAGGTAAAGGGTTGATATCAGAATTCTCTCTGTAGCTTGTGTTGAATATATCATCAAAGACTTATTTGATTTGCTTTGGGGGAGTGGAGGTGTCTGGGTTTATATTTATATTGGATATTATGTAACCCACTGCACAAGATTTAAAATTGTTTTTATATCTTATGTGCAGTCATACAGGACAGGGGTTATGCTACACTTGCATATATTCAAAAGAGAAAAAAGGCATGTTACTAACAAAAGGAATTGGTATAACATTATATTTTAGAGTTAGTAAATCTCACAGTTTAAGGTATATTATAGAGGTTTTAAAAAAGGTTTTGCCATAAATTGCCATGGATTCAGTAATTCAACCACGTATCTTAACCTTTTACATTTCTTTATTTTTGTGAATTCTGTTTCTGCAGATCTATCTCTTAATTCTCTTTTTTTTTTTTTTTTTTGAGACGGAGTCTCGCTCCGTCACCCAGGCTGGAGTACAGTGGCACGATCTCAGCTCACTGCAACCCTGCCTCCTGGGTTCAAGCGATTCTTCTGCCTCAGCTTCCTGAGTAGCTGGGAGTACAGGCGCACGCCATCACGCCCAGCTAATTTTTGTATTTTTAGTAGAGACGGGATTCCAACATATTGGCCAGGCTGGCCTCGAACCCCTGACCTCGTGATCTGCCCGCCTCGGCCTCCCAAAGTGCTGGGGTTACAGGCGTGAGCCACCATGCCCAGCCTCTTTTTTTTTTTTTTAACTGTTTTTTCTTTTTTTTTTTTTTTTTTTTTTACTTCAAGCTCCAGGATACATATGCAGAATGTGCAGGTTTGTTACATAGGTATACATGTGCCATGGTGGTTTGCTGCACCTATCAACTCATCATCTAGGTTTTAAGCCCCTCATACATTAGGTATTTGTCCAGATGCTCTCCCTCCCCCTGTCCTCCACCTCTCAACAGGCCCTGGTGTGTGTTGTTCCCCTCCCTGTGTCCATGTGTTCTCATTGTTCAGCTCCCACTTATGAGTGAGAACATGTGGTGTTTGGTTTTCTGTTCCTATGTTAGTTGGCTGAGAATGATGACTTCCAGCTTCATCCATGTCCCTGCAAAGGACATGATCTCACTCTTTTTTATGGCTGTGTAGTATTCCATGGTGTATATATGCCACATTTTCTTTATCCAATCTATCACTGATAGGCATCTGGGTTGGTTCAAGTCTTTGCTATTGTAAATGTGCTGCATAAACATATGTGTGCATGTGTCTTTATAGCAGAATGATTTATAATCCATTGGGTATATACCCAGTAATGGGATTGCTGGGTCAAATGGTATTTCTGGTTCTAGGTCCTTGAGGAATCGCCACACTGTCTTCCACAATGGTTATTCGCAGAATTAGAAAAAACTACTCTAAATTTCATATGGAAGCAAAAAAAGAGCCTGTATAGTCAGGACAATCCTAAGCAAAAAGAACAAAGCTGGAGGTATCACGCTACCTGACTTCAAACTATACTACAAGGCTACAGTAACCAAAACAGCATGGTACTGGTACCAAAACAGATATACAGATCAATGGAACAGAACAGAGACCTTGGAAATAACACCACACATCTACAACCATCTGATCTTTGACAAACCTGACAGAAACAAGCAATGGGGAAAAGGTTCCTTATTTAATAAATGATGCTGGGAAAACTGGCTAGCCATATGCAGAAAACTGAAACTGGACCCCTTCCTTACATCTTGTTCAAAAATTAACTCAAGATGGATTAAAGCCTTAAATGTAAAACCCAAAACCATTAAAAACCTAGAAGAAAACCTAGGCAATACCGTTAAGGACATAGGCATGGGCAAAGACTTCATGACTAAAACACCAAAAGCAAGTGCAACACAAGCCAAAATTGACAAATGAGATCTAATTAAACTAAAGAGCTTCTGTACAGCAAAAGAAACTATCATCAGAGTGAACAGGCAACCTACAGAATGGGAGAAAATTTTTAGAATCTACCCATCTGACAAAGGTCTAATATTCAGAATCTACAAGGAACATCAATAAATTTACAAGAAAAAAACAAACAGCCCCATCAAAAAGTGGGCAAAGAATATGAACAGATACTTTTCAAAAGAAGATATTTATGTGGCCAAGAAACATGAAAAAAAGCTCATCATCACTGGTCATTAGTGAAATGCAAATCAAAACCAGGAGATACCATCTCACGCCAGTCAGAATGGTTGATTATGAAAAAGTCAGTAAACAATAGATGCTGGCAAGGCTGTGGAGAAATAGGAATGCTTTTACACTGTTGGTGGGAGTGTAAATTAGTTATCTTAATTCTTTATTTGAAAAACACCAATACCTACCACAAATATTGCACAGCTTTACTGTCTTTCAGTGTTCTTTAGCCTCTTCTCTCTCTTTTTCAAAACATTATCCTTCCTTTTCCTCTCTTTCTTCCTCCTCCTCTTCTGTTTTCTTATTCCCCTTCTCCCGCTGTCTCCTCTTTCTTCACTACCTCCCCCTCTTCCCCTTCCTCTGCCTACCTCTCCCATCCTCCTGCTTCCCCTCCGCCCCCCCACTTCCTCCTCTGTTTTTCTCTTTTGCTTCTTCTTCTTGGAGCTATCAGGAATCTCAGAATCAATCTCTCAATTTTGTCTCAAAGGCAGTCAGTGGTAGAGTGATATTTAGCAGAAGTTTTAAAAATATGTTCAGAAGACCAAGAGGTCTGTTTAAAAATATTAATGGTATTAAAATGGCTCTTCTGGAGAATGGAGGCAATCATTAGAGATTTAGTAGACCCAAGGGATGTATGTTTCTTCATATTGTTCTGTCAGTGTGGCTGGCCACATAAGCACACTGAAACATCACTTTAAGGCACTCTCTGAGAACCATGGGGCTGTCTATGTTAAATGCAGGATTCCATCATAAATAAATTTATAGGATTATTCACAAAGATTCCATAGCAAGAGTTGCCGTTACATTACGGAGCCAAATTCTGAGCTCTAGGAAAGCATATTGGTTTTGACTAGATACAGCCCTGTGTCACTTCAAGGTCGGGATATTTTCCGAGAAATGTGTTGTTAGGCAATTTCACCCTGTGAGAACATCACAGAGTGCACTTACGTAAGCCATCCATATATAGACGGTGTAGCCTACTACACATTGGGCTTTGTGGTATAGCCTTTTGCTCCTAGGCTACAAACCTATACAATATGTTAGTGTACTGAATACTATAGGCAGTTGTAACACAGTGGTATTTGTGTATCTAATATATCTAACCATAGAAAAGGTACAGTAAAAGTATGCTATAAAAGATTAAAAATGATACATACCTGTGTAGGGTCCATACCATCAATAGAGCTTATAGGACTGGAAGTTGCTGTGGGTGTCAATGAGTGGTTAGTAAATGTGAAGGCCTAGGATATCACCGTACACTATTGTAGACTTTATAAACATTGTACACTTAGGCTACACTAGGTTTATACAAAAATATTTTTTAAATAATTAGCCTTAGCTTATTGTAACATTTTTTACTTTACAAAGTTTTTTAAAAAAATTATAGAGACAGGGTCTTGCTCTGTCACCCATGTTAGCGGGCAGTGGTGTGATCATAACTAACTCCAGCGTCAACCTCCTGAGCTCAAGTGCACCTCCCACCTCAGCCTCTTGGGTAGCTAGGACTGCAGACGTGTGCCACCATGCCTAGCTAATCTTGTAATTATTTTGTAGAGATGAGCTCTCACTACCTTGCTCAGGCTGTTCCTGAACTCCTGGCCTCAAGTGATCCTCCTGCCTTAGCTTCCCAAAGTGCTGGGATTACGGGCATGAGCTGCCACACCTGGTTCCACTTTATAAAGTTTATAAAGTAGGTTAGTTTACAACAGCATTTCTACAAATGTGAATAATGCATTGTACTGTGACATTATAACAGCTATGATGTCACTAGGCAGTAGGAATTTTTTAGCTCCATTATAATCTTATGGGGCTGCTATTGTATATGCAGTTTGTCATTGACTGCAGCATCGTTATCTGGCACATGACGGTATTCTCTTTTAAATTCTTAGCTATTCACTAGCATTCCCAAAGGACCTGAGTAAGGTAATTTTTTATAGATTCTTAAAAATCACAAATGTCCTTTTCAGTTAATATGCATATATGCATGTGTGTGTGTGTGTGTGTGTGTGTGTGTGTGTGTATCATTCTTCTTCATGAAGAAAAATGTTGGGGAATGCTCTTCTAGTTGTGTTACTGAACTGAACTTGGGTCTGCCCATCAGGTTCACCAAAGCCAAACAGTTACATCAAGATTTGTAGTGAGAGAAAGTGAGACACTTTTTTCAGGGTGCCAAGCAAGGAGAATTGGGCAGCTCATGCTAAAGACCCAACCTCCTCTATGGCTTATATATAAGGGTTTTTAAAGGTAGGGAAACAGAGGTTACGTTACATGCAAAGACATACATCAACACATGAAGTATATACATTGATTTGGCCTAGAAAGGCAGGACATCTTGAAGCAGGGGCTTACAAAATCATAGGTGGATTCAAACATTTTTTGATTTGCAGTTGTTTAAGGAAGCAGAGCTTTGTGTAAATACTTGGGGTCAGCATAAAAGAATATTAGGTGTGTCCCATGGGCATGACTTCCTCCAGGCCACTCAGGAAGAAATTTAGAACAAAGAAATACAGTCAGAGTTCAGTCTCCAGTTTCTTCTTATTTGAAGTCTGTGTACCAGCAGATTCATTTGGTGGTGGTCCAGGTTTCTGAAAAACAACTCAGGGCCGTATATTAAGATGTTTTCTTTAGTTTCCCTGGGTGTTACAGGAAAGAGGTCTCAATCCAGACCCCAAGAGAGGGTTCTTGGATCTCATGCAAGAAAGACTTCAGGGTGAGTCCATAAAGTGAAAGGAAGTTTATTAAGAAAGTAGAGGATTAAAAGAGTGGCTACTCCATAGGCAGAGCAGCCCCGAGGGCTGTTGGTTGCCCATTTTTATGGTTATTTCTTGATTATATGTTAAACAAGGGGTGCATTATTCCTGTCTCCCCTTTTTAGACCTTATAGGATAACTTCCTGATGTTGTCATGGCATTTGTGAACTGTCATGGCTCTGGTGGGAGTATAGCAGTGAGGATCACCAGAGGTCACTCTCGTGGCCATCTTGGTTTTGGTGGGTTTTAGCTGGCTTCCTTACTGCAACCTGTTTTATCAGTGAGGTCTTTATGACCTGTATCTTGTATCAACCTCCTATCTCATCCTGTGACTTTAGAATGCCTTAACCATCTGGGAATGCAGCCCAGTAGGTCTTAGTCCCATTTTACCCAGCTCCTATTCAAGATGGAGTTGCTGTGATTCACACACCTCTGGCATAAGGAACCAAACATTTTGTGACTTTAACTTCCTTGGCTATTATTTTAAGCTGTTATGACCTTTTGCTTACTGAGTTGCTCATTTACTTCTCAGGGCTAGCTGAGTGCCTTGAATTTTCCTTGAGGGAACTTAAGATTTTCCTTTATTTGCAAGCTGGGGGTGGAAAGCAGCAGACCCCAGAGAGGAATGCCTGTGCTGTCTCAGTTGTCAGATATTGTGGTCAGATTTATTAATGCCTTATTATTTATATAATTCTCTCAAATTGACCTTTACAATTTTATTTCACAACAGATGTCTGAAGAAATGAGTTTTTATTATCTTTAGAGGTAATGAGTGCCTCAAGCAATAGTGATTATTAGACTCATAAATGCATGCAAACTCTAAATAAAAATGACCCATAATAAGCTTTTATTCAGTGTTTATGTGTATGCTGCTCTTTGAAATTCCTCAGTGGTAATCTGTTTGGAATATGTATCTACTGTAATGTCATGGAAATTCAACAGTGGTCATATTGGGGCATTGCAAGACAGTACTTGAGTGGGACCTTCCCCAGAATCATTTGCAAAAAAAAAACCAAAACACAAACACCAACCAAGTCTCTTTTTGCTGAGATTCTGATCTCTTGTTGTTATGACACTTATTCCCTTTTTGGTAGTACAGAATTGGTATGTGAAACATTAAAACTGTTTTCTTTCAGGAGAGTAGAAGGAGGGTAGAGAAAGCGGCATTAGGAATTCTTTTTTTTGTTTTTTTTTTTTTTGAGACAGAGTCTCCACTCTGTTGCTCAGGCAGTGCAGTGGTGTGACCTCAGCTCACTGCAACCTCCGCTTCCCAGATTCCAGCGATTCTCCTGCCTCAGCCTCCCGAGTAGCTGAGATTACAGGCACGTGCCACCACACCCAGCTAATTTTTGTATTTTTAGTAGAGGTGGGGTTTCTCCATGTTGGCCAGGCTAGTCTCGAACTCCTGACCTCAGGTGATCTGCCCGCCTTGGCCTCCCAAAGTGCTGGGATTACAGGCATGAGCCACCGCACCCAGCCAGGAATTTTTTTTTTTTTTTTTTTAAGGATTCGGCCTTGACCATATTTAAGTCTCATAGCTACTGTCTTAGTCCATTTCATGCTGCTATATCAGAATACCACAGACTAGCTAATCTTTTTATTTATTTGAGACAATTTTTTTGCATCACCCAGGCTGGAGTATAGTGGTACAATCATCGCTCACCATAGCCTCAATCTTCTGGGCTCAAGGAATCCTCCTACTTCAGCCTCCAGAGTAACTGGGACTGCATGCTACCATGAAAATTTGTTGTAGAGATGAGTTCTGTGTTGCCCAGGCTGGTCTCAAACTCCTGGCTTCATGCAGTCCTCCCGCCTCAGCATCCCAAAGTGCTGGGATTACTTACAGATGTGACCCCCTGCACCCAGAGTGGTCATTTATAATGAAAAAAAATTTATTGGCTCACAGTTCTGGAGGCTGGGAAGTCCAATATTAAATGGCCAGCATCTGGCAAGAGTTTTCTGTTTACTGCTGTCCCATCCCATGACTAGCAAACTCAAGCGCCTGCTACATAGGCAAAAGGGGGGCCAAAATTAGCCTTTTATAAGGAATCCACTCCAGAAATATAACATTAGTCTATTCATGAGGGCAGAGCAGTCATGGCCCAATCACTGCTGAAAGGTACTACCTCCTAGTACTGTCACAATGACAATGAAATTTAACATGAGTTTTGGATTGGGCACACGTTCAAATCATAGCAGCTACAAATCCTTTTTTTTTTCCAAATGTATTCTTTTGAATGCATTCCTCTTAGTGTTTGTTTCCTCTATATCTCATTCCTCAATTTGAAAAGTATTTGAAGGGAGATCATTGGGCTGAAGCATTTTCATATCATTTTTTCATAGTTTCAATGTAATAGAATGACATAGTAAATACTTGTTCACTAGGAAAGAGTATGAGAGAAAAGGCACTTAAGTGCAGTACCTCAGACTAAACCTAAAATTTATCTCTCCTCCTGTATGTTGCTGACTAAAATCAGTAAGTTTCATATTTTGTACTTTTGGGGAAAATATTAAACACACAGCTTAAATATACAAATATTTATGAAGGATACTTGTGCGAAGAGGCACTGTGCTGATCTTTGCACAGATATGGATATAGTTAAAATACGGTGTTTATATATTCAGTGTTTAATACTTGTAATAGATAAAGCTTGAATGGTAGGTTGTGGTTCTTATATTGTAGGACTTTACTTTTAAGGATAAAGAGTTTCACTGTAATTCACTATGCATTAGTTGGCCCTTTAAAATTTATGAGCTGGGGAATGACATGGTCAGAGTTATGTTGAGTGACTTTGAAGCAGGTAAGATGGATTGGAAAGCTGTTAGAAGATGATTGCTGGGGACTAGTTAGGAGCTAATGTTGGTCTGTACTAGGTTTGGTATTGGGAATAGAAAGGAAATTATGTAGGTATAATCTATAGATTTGGCAGTTCATGGGAGGAGGGAAAGAGGGGTTACCCTAATATTGATAGTCTGGATTATTAGAAAAATTTTTCCCCTCTCATCCATTCATTTAGCATTTATTGAGCGTGGAGTTATTTTTTAACAGAGCAAGGAATTCAACAGGAGGATAAACAAATTTTAGAGTCTGGATAATATATTGGATATCAAACATATTAAACTTGTGCTGACAAGGTAGCTTCTAGAAAGTATTTCAAAATTTGGTTCTAGAATTCAAGAAAATTTGAAGCTAGAGACAGAGAGCTAGCATCCTATTGATGGTACTAAAACTCATCTATTAATACATAGGGAAAACCAAAGTGCTATGTCCTCAAGTGCCACATTGATAAATCAAGTAATATTAGCCTATTTGGGGATTTCTGTGTAATCAGATTTGCCCAGAGTCCTTTTCATGGTTTATTGTTACTTCTTATGTATAGTTTATATTTTATGTATCAAAACAGCACAATCACAAGTGTGTAGTTAAGGATTAATATATGTAGCCACTTTACCATAAAACTCTTACGTGTTTACTGTAAAGAAATATCATTTCATTTCAACTTTATATGTTGTGTAGCCAATAGAAAATATCATTTGGAGCTAATGAATATATAATATTCACAAGGTGGATGGATTACTTGAGTCTTGGAGTTGGAGACCAGCCTGGGCAATATGGAAACCTCATCTCTACAGAAAATACAAAAATTAGCCAGGTGCGGTGGTATATGCCTGTGGTTCCAGCTACTTGGGAGGCTGAGGCGGGAGGATCGCTTGAGCCTGGGAGGCAGAGGTTGCAGTGAGCCAGGATCACTCCATTACACTCCAGCCCAGATGACAGAGAGAGATCCCATCTCAAAAAAAAAAAAAAAAAAAAAAATATATATATATATATATAAAATTTTTCACTAAAATCTTTTAGAAGTTGCTAGAATTTTCACACTGCATTGTATGATGCTATTTTCATAATTTTACATGCTTCATTTCTTAGTTGAAAAACTTGTTTCTGTGCTAAATTTATCAGTGGGTATCATCATTAGTGTTAAGTAGGTGAAGCCTGATACAAATTATGCCCCTCTCTTAAAAAAAAAAAAATAAACAGGTTAAAATACCACTGGCATATTGTTCACATTTCATCAGCATCTTCATCTGTGACATAAGATGGTATCAATACAAACAGTGGAATGAAGAAGTTGACATTTATGATTAGTGAACGAAAGGTATCAAATATAAAAAAAATTCCGACTTGAAACACATTGCAATTTTCATTGTGGTGTTACAGGTTATTGGATTTTTTCCCCCTCTTTTTGGTGTACATACTTGGAAGGACGCATCTGTCACAGGAAAATTTTTGTGAAGCACTCATCTTCTGACTTGCCCATGAATTCCTTGTTTTAAGCAGTCAAGGCAAACAGTGTGCTTCTCAAATTTTAGCACGCGTAACAGTTGCTTGGAGAGCTTGGTGAAACAGAGATTCTGGAGTCCTCCCTCTGAAGATTTGAGGTGAGTCCCAAGAATTGATATTTGTAACAAGCTCTCAGATGATGCTGATGCTGCAGTTCTGAGGACCACATTTTGAGTAGCACTGAGGTGACACATTGTGACAGTCACTCTGGAATTAGTAATTTAGAAAGCACTTAGACTTAATATGTAGAGAGACTTTAAAATCAAAATAAAATATTTCATACTGGACAGCCCATTGCCATAAAATCTCAGCTGATGAGAATTAAGATTTCATAACTGAAGTGTTACTTATCCATGAAATAGTCATTTAGAAAACAGATAACACATACCAATCCTGATGAAATATTATATCATTTCCTGTATATCTTTTGTAGTACCATGAATGATCCTTTATTTTTGTATCAAGAAAGTTTCTTAATCTATTTTTGTGTTAGTTTTTCTTATTCTCAATGAATGATATGGTAATTTAAAGAAGAATTTAAGTTTATGTAATTGAAAATTTTCCCCAAAATTTGAGGAAATTACTTAGATCATACAGTTATAGGTGTGAAGTCATTTCAGAGTAATAAAATAGCACTTTACTGAAATTTTGGAAATAGATGTCTTTGTATAATAAAGAATCACACAGATACTATCACTCTCAGTATTTCTAATATTGTGACATATTTATGGTATTTTAATTTTGGATGCATTTTGGCTTTCTACTCAACAATGCTTAGCCTTTTAAAATGTTTTGAAGTTATTAGAGTTGGCAAATGTGCTTGAAAGTAATAAAACAATTTCCATAAACTAGTGTGTAATTCAAGCTTTTCACTAATTCATGTTAGTTTTTCCATTAATTTTTTGGTTTTCTGTTGTACTTGTTTTTCTATTAATGGAAGAAATTCCTTATTTTTCCTTTATGGCTTAGAAAGATTTGCTAAATTCCTTTTTAAAAATTTAGACATGTCTGAAGATGTTTTTCTGTTGATATTGTCAACATAAAATGAAAAATGCACAGATCTTAAGTGTTAAGTTTGGTGAGTTTGATATCATGTAAATACCACCCCAAATAAGATATAGCACATTTCTGTGCCTCCAGCAAGTTCCCTCATGCCCCTCTTTCTTAATTTCCACTACCTGTTCTCACCTGGAAACCAACTTTTTGGTTTCTGTCGCCACAGATTAAATGTACCTAAATTGGGATTTCATGTTCATGTAATCATACAGTATGTACTTTTTGTTCTTGCTTCTTTTACTTAACATATATTTTAGATACTCATTTGTGTTATTGAGTGTGTCATAATTTGTTCTTTTTTAATTGTTGAGGAATATTTCTCTTCTATGGATTTAAATAAAATGTATTTACCTATTCTGCAGTTGATAGACATTTATGGTTCCAGTGTTTTAGTAAGACTGTTATGAATAAGACTGTTAATCTATTCTTCTATGAATCTTTTCGTGGATGTGTGATTTTCATTTTTATTGATCATGGAGTAAATGTATATGTAACTTTATAAGCAATTGCCAAATTGTTTCCTGTCAGCAGTATATGAGAATTCTGGTTATTTCATATCTTATCAACACTTGGTGTTATCAGCATTTTTTTTTCTTTTTCTTTTTTTTTTTTTTGAGACAGAGGCTTGCTGTGTCATTTAGGCTGGAGTGCAGTGGCATCATCTCCGCTCACTGCAACCTCTACCTCCCCAGTTTAAGCAATTCTTGTGCCTCGCCTCCTGGGTAGCTGGGACTACTGGTGCGTGCCACCACACCTGGCTAATTTTTGTATTTTTAGTAAAACTGGGTTTCACCATGGTGGTCAGGCTAGTCTCAAACTCCTGACCTCAGGTGATCTGCCCACCTTGGCCTCCCAAAGTGCTGGGATTACAGGCATGAGCCACCACCACACCCAGCCAGTCATTTTTATTTTAGCCATTCTTTTAGATATGTAGTAATATCTCATTGTGATTTTAATTTGCATTTTCCTAATAACTAATAAAAAGTTTATTTCCTAATAACTAATAAAAAAGTTCATGTGCACACTGTCTGTTCATCAGTTTTCTTTGAAAAAGTATCTGTTCAATTTTATTCATCTGGTTTTTAATTAGTTTTGTCTTTTTATCATTGATTTATAGGTTTTATTCATGTATTCTGATACAAGTCCTTTGTTAGAAATATATGCAGCCAGTATTTTCTCTCAGTCTGTGGCTTGTTTATTCATTTCCTTAGTGGTATCTTTGATGAGCAGAAGGTTTTAAAATTTGATGAAGTTCAGTTTATCAGTTTTGTGTTACACAGTTTATGCTTTTTATTTTCTGTCAAAGCACTGTGTGCCTACCCTAAGAGGCAAAGATATTCTCTTGTTGCCTTTATGGATTACTTTTATGTGTATGATTCATTCTGAATTAAGTTTGGTTTATGGAATTAGAAGGATTGAGGTTATTTTTTCTCCCACAGGGATATCCAGTTGTTTCGAAACAATTTGTTATATACTTACCTTTCCTCATTGAATTGCTGTGGCAGCCTTGTTGAAACTCAGTTGACCATATATGTATGGTCTGTTTCTAGGCTATCTTTATGCTAGTACTACAGTCTTGATTACTGCTGAAATTTTGATAGGGATTGTATTAATATATCAGTTTGTCCATTTTCCCTAAACTGATATATTAATTAATGCTTTAGATTACATCTGTCTTTTATTTGATAGGTGAATGAATGAAGTGGGACTAGCTTTGGGCTCTCAAGAGTAGGAAGGTCTTTGGCTAGTGGGGATTAAAAGAAATTAAGGGCAAGAAAAAAAATAAGACTTGACAACAGAAGGAAAATGACTGTGGTCTTTTAGGATCATAATGAGTCGACCTCCCACAGGATAGGTCAGATTTAGAAATAGTAGGAACAAAATTAACATAGACTTTGAGATCGGAAAGTCTTTAAACCTAGGATTAGGGGCTTGTTTTCCCATTGGCAATAGAGAAAAATACCATATTTTTAAGAATGTGTGTAATGACACCATTTTATGAGTAGCCCTTGTAATTGAAACTTCTTAAAACATTCTAGTGTCTTGCATTCCAATTTTAAATCATAAATATATTTGGACTGGGTTTTAATTTCTCATAGCAGTAAAAACAAACTGTCAGAAACTTGGGTGGTTTCAAATATTTATTCTTTTATAGTTCTGGAGAAGTCCAAAATAATTATAACTGGGCTGAGTTCAAAGTGTTGGCAGCGCTGCACTCCCTCTGGAGGATCTGGTGGAGAATCCATTGCTTGTCTTTTCCAGCTTCTGGAGGCTGCAGGCATTCCTTGGCTTGTGGCCACTTCACTCCAGTCTTCAAGGGCAGCATTTCAGATCTCTCTCTCTCCACTGTCTTCACATCACCGTCTCTTCTGTGTGTCAGCTCTTTCTCTGCCTCTTTCTTCTAAGAACACTTTGAATACATTTAGAGCCCAACCAGATAATCCAGCAAAATCTTCCCATTTCATGAACTACAACGTAATCATATCTGTGAACTCCCATTTTCCAAATAAAGTAACATTTACAGGTACCAGATATTGGGACTTTATATATTTGGGGGCCATTATCAGCCTACCACAGACAGTTACTCCTTTTCTTAGACCTTCACTTTGCTCTGCAAGTTGCTGTCAAAACACATTGGACCAAGGCTTTAAGCATCCCAAATGATATACTTATTTTCTTGCTATAAGTGTCATTTTTTAATGGAATGTACCCATTAAATAAATGTCATGGAATCTGAATAGACTTAAAGCCTCAGATGGCGAGCACCTTATTTCAATTAATAATCAGGAAAATACCAAATTAGGGAAAGAGATTGAATTGTACTTTGACTATCATAGAACTGATTTGTGACTCATAATAAAATTTAATAATATTTTTTAGTTTAGGGCAGCCAGGAATTAATTCCTGGTTTTATAGGGCTTTCTGGGTCAGATTGGTGCATGATCAGGCCTAACCTCTTCTATTCATTGTACCAAGCAGACTTCCTATATTGGCCCATGACAAATTACCTACCTTTTGATCTTTACTCCTACTTTATAGATACAAATTTAGAACAAGTTCTCCAGGGCCTTAATGCTTGTGACATACTGAATTAAGAGTTTTCCCCTGTAAACGTATCATAAATGTATCCTGGCATATTTGAATATGTTACATATAATAACATTTACTTATACTAAGCTTGTTAGACAATTCTTAGTGTAGTGTTAGAGGAATGGGTCAGCTAGAGAACTTTAATGCAGCCAACTCCACTTTGGCTTAGGGATATTGCCTTAATATCCCAACTTTAGAGATTGCCAAAACCTCAGTATAGAAATAATTTTTATGAGCATCATTTGATAAATCATGGGCAAAGAAGATGAAACAGTAAAGCCTTAGTTTCCTTTTCTCCAGTGCTTATATTAGTTTAAATATCTAAATGTTGATAACTGATAGATTTCATAGGAAGGGAGGTAGTTTGCCAAAGGGAAAATGGAAGCCTAATCCTCATTGTTTGCCGTAGAATCTTTGTCCCAGCCTGTATGATGTTTACCAGGTTCTTCTGTGTAACCAAATACCAGGATAGCATTTGCTGTGCTAGAGAGGATTTCAGAAGTGTGAAGAAGTTCAGCATGAAAATGAATCTATTTTTAAAATAGTCTGTGATTTAAGTAAAACTTACATACATTACAAATTCTAGATTGAGAATTGAAGTCATTTCGCTTCATGGTATTTGACTCAATTTACTGAGTGACTTTAGCCTTCGCAATTTAGATAATAAATGACATGGTACTTGCAATTTTTTTTGTGCTCCTGATAATGTCTATAAGGCAGTCAGTGAAATAATTTAAATGATTGTACCATTAATTGAGGAATGTATGAACCAACCACACTGATGAGTCATGAAATGTGCACATGGTTACTTGCCTGTTTATTGTAAAAACTTGGAAAAAAGAGTAAGAAATTAAAAAAAAACTATTCTACATTAAAAGGACATTCCTAAGTTTACTTTTTGAAATTAAAATATAAAACTGTCAAAGTAATTATTGGATAAATACTATCTTTTTTTTTTTTTTTTTTTTTTGAGACGGAGTCTTGCTCTGTCGCCCAGGCTGGAGTGCAGTGGTGCAATCTCAGCTCACTGCAAGCTCTGCCTCCCGGGTTCACGCCATTCTCCTGCCTCAGCCTCCTGAGTAGCTGGGATTACAGGCGCCCACCACCACACCTGGCCAATATTTTTGTACTTTTTAGTAGAGTCAGGGTTTCACTGTGTTAGCCAGGATGGTCTCGATCTCCTGACCTTGTGATCCGCCCGCCTTGGCCTCCCTAAGTGCTGGTATTACAAGCGTGAGCCACTGCACCCGGCCATAAATACTATCTTTTAATGATAGATTCATTTTCATGGTGAGCTTCTCCACACTGCTAAGGATCCTCTCTAGCACAGCAAATACTATTCTGATATTTGGTTACACAAAAGAACCTGGTAAGCATCATGCAGGCTGGGAGTTCCTTATTTACTTGAGAGTAAGAAAATTTACATATCTGAATATGTGCTATTGTTAACCCTAGATTTTTTCACTGAAATGTCTCTAAATTTAGATAATCTTTTCACATTTGTTGAGAGATTTCTGAAAAGCAAATGACATATTGATCCTTTCAGAACTGTTAGATAAAAAGAGAAGGGAGAATCACAGAGAACATAGAAGAAAAGGAAGGAAGGAGATAGGAGAACTGATAATAGAAGTGATCCTTACTGGATAACTATTTAGTGAGCTACATGTATATCAGCATTTAAGAATTTATGAATTGGCATAAAACTTCTGGTTTTGACCCAGTAGTATAAATAAATTACTGCATATTGAAAACAAAAATTTTTAGACTTTTTAGAAAATTCACATAAGATTCTTTAATGAATTAATTTACATCCAAATGTTTGAATTCTTTAAAGTTATTTCTTACAAATCTGGCCTAGAATAACCAGTTTTTAATAAAAATGTATGCTTGGGGATTTATAACTTTATAATCTTCAGGGCTGGGGAAGAAGATGAAAGTTGTCATGTTTATAATTAGATATATTTTTATTTAAAATTACGATTGTATAATTTCATAAGGAAGACCTAGTGGTCCATTTTATAATGCTGTCTATAGGTAGGCACATTGTGTAAGGAAAGCTTCATACTCTGCCTAATTTGTGCTCTTCCTGTTTCATGTCCTGCTTGTCTGCACGTACCTATTTCTATTTGTGTTAGTCATCCTCTCTAGGTAAACTGTCCATGAGACCAAGGATTCCATGAACAAATTATCCAGAAAATGCTGTCTTTGCACGTTGTGACAGATCATGTCACTGGTGGATTTATAGCTAGTCCAGTGGTCTAATTAACCTGGCAGTTGTCTCCTGTGCCCAACACTGTTGTCTCATTGCCTTGGCATTTGGTTTTCATCTTCTCATTACCTTCTTAACTAAAGCTCAGATTTACAATTTTTTTAAATCTAACCCCACTCAGCTCTCTCTACTCACCCCCTGCACCCTTCTTTTTGATTGGCAGTATCATCCAGATAAACAAAGTACAGATGTACCAGCAGGAACAGTGGAGGAATGTGTACAGAAGTTCATCGAAATTGATCAAGCATGGAAAATTCTAGGAAATGAAGAGACAAAAAGAGAGTATGACCTGCAGCGGTGTGGTAGGTGCTTGTGTTGAGGAGCCACAGCACATCGGCAACTCTTAGAAGCACACTCTGCAGCCATTCCTGGGGAGCATTTTCCAGCATTTGCACCAAGTGTTATTGTTGCCTTTATTCCTCCCCTCCATCACTGTTTTTAATTATGCCCTATTCTTAGCAGTGACTATTGTGTATCCATTGAGAAGTTAACAAAACTACTAGGATGTGGCTTCTTGTGAAGCCTTGAAAGCTACTTTTTATAACATTTGAAAAATGTTTAATTACACATTACTAACTAATATGCTTTATATGTTTAAAAACTTTTTATTAAAATAAATATGGATTAACATTTTAATTGTACTTTTAAGACTATACAGTATAAATGACAATCCAAATGAAGATACTATATATCAGATGACATCATAAAGCACTCTGCTGTCTTTGAGCTCATTTTAGGCTGGGTTTCATGATTATCTTCATGATAAACTATTCCTTGTGATTGGTATAAATGATATTTTAGGAATGCACATTACCTAAGCAATTTTAAAAGTCATTTCTTTTATGCTTTTTAGAAAATAGCTTTTTAAAACAGTGACAAGCTGTTATGAGAAAGAAAGAGGGAAATGTAGGTCAGGTTTGTCACACATGGACTGCAGTTACACGAAGTGATAGGCTGTCTTTCAGCACTGGCCTAGGGACAGGAGTCCCTCAGCCTTGTGTTTGAACCTTCAATATGCACCCCACATGCTAATGGGAGGAGTCAATAATCAGTTACAGCCTGTGGGGAAAACACTCAGTCGCTCTCTCCAATAGCATATCAGGCTCAGCATTGACTGGGATGTGTTGATAAAAGCTGTCTCGTAGTCGCTTATTGAATCCCCTCCCATGCCCTACAATGGCACACCATCAGACCTCACAAAATGATTCTGAGGCTTTGTTAGTACTAAGGTTATGAAAATTTGATTTGAGAAGCAAGCCTTTATTTTTAAAACACAGCATTATAAGATGAAGCCAGTGACATTTGCAAGACATCCCTATTTATTTTCAGAGGGATTTCTACCAAGAAAATTAAGGTTTCTTATAGGCTGTGTGATACTTCTGTGTGGAAAGACTTGAACTGTTTATGTACTGGAGTATTTGTTTATAAGAGTGACTTATTTATAGTACTAATCAGCTCAAAGGCTTTACTACTTTTTAAAAGACTGATGAGCTTATTTTTTTCTTAAATATTAAGAACCTGATGGGTGTACCTTTGCTTTTCAAAGCAAAGGTTAATTTTCAAAAATGGCTTGAATATTGGGTTCTGCTTTTGCTGGGTGCATAATGAGCATCTGTCTAATGTATTTATTTTTTAAACATGTTTGTACTTTTTGCAAAAGAATGTAGAAGTGGCTTCGTTTGATGATAAGTTCTACCCGTTGGTGTATCTTTTTAACCTTGGTTCACATGATTTCTATGAAAGAATTGAAACTAATGCACATGAATGTGTTGTGTGTTAGAAGAAATCTACATTCCTAAAGCCACTACGCTCTACTGAAGATGATGATTCTTTCAGGTGTTTTTGCACATCTTTACTAGTCTCTACTATATAGGATGCCAGTTTGCTTGAGATAAAAATAATTCACACGACATTGTACCCTAAAGAGTATAGGGTATATACTTTCAATGTTGCTCTACATTTTTGCCACTCCACAGCCTGTGTACTATTAAGAACATATTAGTGAAGTTGACTAGAAGCCTGCTCTCTAAAGAGGTAGGGAGGGATCAGGAATCATAAAAATATTTTCTCAAGAAGCTACAGGGTGGGGTAGGCCAGAAACCAAAAGAAATAGGAAACCAGGTTAAAAGTTAGCAGAGAATTGCATGAAGAAAGATTTGAGAGATGTCAGAAGACAAATAATCATCATATTCATGCCTTTTTCATTGTCTTCGAAAGGTCCTTGGAACTGCGGATTTCTTTTGAGCTTTGAGTCCTACTTTTAAGATCTTAATGGAAGCACCTGTGGCCTACTGTGTCACAGGGTACTCCTGTAGGTCATAGATGAAGTCACAATGAAGTTTAGACAAAGTAAATACTGTGAGAGTTGGACCTGATTCATGATTCAGATAAATAGTTTGGAATTTATACAATATCAGTTTGCTCTGCAAGTTTTTCAGGCAGCATATTACTGAATTTAGCTGTTCTAGAAGGACAGCTTTTCATGACACTTTAGTACCTCAGATTTAAGTACTAAGTATTGCCTCTTTTACCAGAGGCTCCAAATACTGACACTACTTTGTTTCAATTTTAAATGGAGATTGACATACTGTTTAGGTAAGAAGAGTATCCAAATATAACTTGCTATTTTTAAGCCTTTCATACCAGAGCTATTTTTCAAAACTCTTACAATAAACCTACTTTCATATTGTTATTTCTTTTGAATACCGTTATTAATTTTTTCTTCTTGACTCAGCTTCAGTAAAATGGCTCCTCAAAAAAAGGAAATGAACTTGAACATCTCTAAAAGTGAGGATTTAGGTTTGCTAGAAGGAAAACCTTTGAGAGTAATAATTTGTTAAAGACCAGGATAGGTTACCGAGAGAGAGAGTTTGTTATAACCAGGTCAAAGCACTCTTTTTTTCTGGGTCACCCCCTGGGGACATGGAAATAGCTTTGTTATACAGAACTCTTTTTACATGTGGTGATAATTCATTGTAAACCTTTCTTTTCATAGGGGTGTGCTTTAAATATGTTTGTTTCCTGCCCACCATTAACTTGCAGTATAAAATAAAATTGAGCTCTCTAGTACTTGGGAAGGAGGTAGGAAATGCTTTATTGGCTGGTCTTGAATGCTTTCTCGTGTTTCATAGCTCCATGTTGGTGCTCTGTCTTAAGGAAAGCCTCATCAATATTGCCCACAGCCATATATTTATCTAAAAGATAATTTAAAGGGACACTTGACGTCCATATTTCTTTGCTTCTCAAAAGAAATGATCATATGTGTTCTTTCCAATAAAGAAAAAGTAATACTCCAGGGCAGATAACCCAAAGTATTGCATGTATGTTTTTTTCTCCTTCATTCCTACTTCTATATGCTTAGTTGACATTTTAGAGCAATGTTGGCCAGGCTGAAGAAAAGTAAATTTAAGAAAAGAATGAGTAATAATTAGTTCCCAGAGATTATACATTTCGAAAGCAATGTTAACTCTGAATTTAATCAATTAGTTCTAGTTGGCATATTAAACTTATTGTTTCTGAGGATGCCTCCAAAGGCTGCTTCCAGTGTTCCCCTGAAAGGCATGTAGTTTTTCAAGATTAGGCTTTGCATTTCAATTTTAAATGGAGATTGACCTACTGTTTAGGTAGCACTTTGGAAAACCCTTTCAGGATTTATAAAATGTTCACATGAATAATACCTGTTGAGTAGATTTTGTTGCCTTTATAAATCTTGTGGGGAGTTGTCCTTATATATTAAGCACATTAAAAACACATCAGAAGTATATCATAGGAAAATAACAGTTGTCATGATTCAATAGCTTTGTAATGTGAAAGTCACAGATCTCTGATGTCTTAGTGGCTCTATACAGTGACACAGCTTATGAGTTAAGTACTTCTCTGTGATCTGAAGAGTAGCAAACCTTGAAATACATTTAATCAGATTAAATAATGTTTAAAAGAATAGATTGTGTTTGGAATCCTTGCTGATACATTATTTTATATTAAGATATATCTTAGCTACTCTGTTAGTGAATTATTTTGGTAAGGTAGAACCTTCACTATACATAATTGGATACCCAAAACAGCGTGGCTCAGAGGAGGTTGGGCCAGATACTGTAAAGTGAGTGTGCCTTTGCTCAAAGCTAATCAGCTACTCTGCTTAGGTAGATACAAGAGGTCATTTCTGGTTTGTATTACACAATTTGCTCCATCCCTTTATTAGGATAAATATTTGGGAAGATAAGCAAATAAATGGAAGCAGATAAATGGAACGAAATATAAGCAAATCTTAAAACAAATGAGGAACATACCTTAAAACCCCACCAACAAGTATCAGATAAATCAACATGTAATTTCTTAAACTCAAAATAAGAATCCTTCCTGAAAAGAATGGTAATGTTATAGAAACTCCATAAGAGGGAAATATGTAGATAATATAAATTTTGGTTAACTGTTAGGAATAATAACTTAAGGCCAGTAGATATTTGTGTAATTATGTCCTAAAGCTGACCCTTACAAAATACTTGAATTAGTGAGATTAGGGTCCATTTATGGTCATAATATTTCCATTTGATTTTAGGAATTTCAAAATTAGTTGTAAAAATTTGCTTCAGGTAAAACTTGGAAGATAAGCATCGGGGGGTATGTTTTTTTTGGTGACCGTTTCTGAGAAAAGTAAGTATGTGAAATGATGCAGAAAATCCATCTTGACAGTTGGGGACTGGCTTTATCTTGAGTGGGAGAAGACAGTATAGATAAAACTTTCTGTGCAGGTTCCCTCGCCCCAACTTACTTGTTGCAAGATGACTACTCACATTACTTGCTACTTTTACTTGAATGCAAATAACTGTGCAATGAAAATGTATTTTAGGATCATTTCTCATTGGTTTTGAGTAAAAATTTGGCTACCTTCAAATAATGCTATAGAGACCTATAGGCAAGATTACAGTTATAATTCTGGGACACTTGAACAGACTTGGTAGTTCTGATTTAATAGTGGAGCAGTCTAAGATTTTAGGAAGTTTTTTTTTTCCAACTTTAACCACTCTCCCAACTTTCCACTTGGTTACTTGACCCAATTGAAATCAGTGGGTCCAAAATCAAGACTGACCGAGTCAGCTTTCTTATTTTTTCCTCAACCTTGGTTTCATATTACACTCTGCTTACTTCTACTTTGCTCCATTTACAGTCAATGAATCAGAAATGCCAGTTGACATTTGTTCTTTTTTAATGTTGTTTCCCCTGTGTGAGCTTTTATTCTCACAACTACCACAGTAGTCCATCCCCAGATTATAAAACATACCCAGATTATTTCCATAGCCACTAATTGGCCTTCCATTCTCTATTGCTGCCTTCTCTCACAGTACTTTACATTTTGATTGATCTAGCAGCTTTCTTTATTCTCATGCCTCTATTTAAGAACATTTATAACTCTATACCCTCCCAAAATAACACCTACCCATTCACCTGGAATTTAAATGGGACAGAAGCTTTTAAGCTTGTCCCTGCTACTTTTTCCGACTTATTACCTATTTCAAACCTAATGTGAATTTTATCCCCTGGCCCATTTAGAGGCTCCCAGACACACGTCTGTTTATACTGCTTGTTATTAATCAGAACCATCCTCCTGTTCTGATTCTTATTCTTTGTTCAAGGTTCAACTTAGGTCCTTCCATCTCCCCTACTCCCAACTTCCCACCACCCACCAGAGCCTTCTGGTATTCTAATCCATCTAATTTGTGCTCTCTGAACTAAAGACACAGAATTGTAGGTCCGTTTTATTGGGACCTACAATAGCAGAGTACTTCAGACTTCAGCACTTATAAATCCAAAGTCAAGAGTTGCTGCCTTCCTACACTGTGGTACTTGAGGTATTTTTCTCCTACTAATAATGGATTGGTTTTTAGTCATTTTCTTATGGTCTGGTATAGATAGCTCAACACAAACAGTGAGAGATAACAGCAGTTTAAAAATAACTGTGATTTTTATTAAGCACTAGAACTGTGGTAGTTCTTTTAAACATTGTTTAACAACCTTGTGAGGAAGATATTAATACCTGTTTTTCAGAGAATATCTGTTTTTCAGGTTTACTAATTTGACTAAGGTCACATAAAGTAGTTGATCGGGGGGGAATTCAAAGCCATTTTTTCTCAATCACTATTTTGTATGAGTTGTGTACAATCTACTATTTGTAGTTCCAGATAGTCACGTACGAGGGATATTTGAGGGTCAGAACAAGATACCAGGCCTACTTCTGCTGCTGTTTTACCTGTTTTATAGTGAAGCAGAAGGAAATCAGTTTGTGGGTTTCATTTGGTACCTTCAGTGAGCACTGGGTTTACCTACAGTTTATAAAAGCTCCACAGTTATTCAAGTTCATAATCAGGTTCCAAGTTTGTAGTTTTTCTTCAGTGTGGAAAGCCTTGTAATAATCACTCTTCAGTTTCATCTGGGAAAGGATTATAGGGTTTATGACTTAAAGAACAGGCTTCCAATTAAATGTTGCCTATTTCTCAATCTCTTATCAAGGTAGAGAATTTTTCAAGAGCAGAGGCATGTTAAAGACAAGGAAACTGATTATGTTCAAGTTACTTCCCACATAAAAAATGTAATTATGTATAGTGAAGTGTTAAGAATGAGGTGATGGTTTAAAATTAAATTACTTGGTTTTAAGAGAGCAAGATACTGAATTAGACCTAAAGGAAAAACTGTTGTTTATTTTTAACTTACACACCAGTGTCTTTAAGTTTGAAATAAACTTTAAACATTTGAAATGACATAAACAAACACAGTGGACTAATTGCTAAATGAGAGCATCGTGGGGATGTGATGATCATGTGAATAACATGGCATTGCCGCACATGAATATTATGGACAGAGCTGCAGGTGGACTTGATCTTTTGGCCAGATGGGGTTGAATGAGACTTCAAAATATCTTGGCCATAATGAATAAAGTTAAATTCTTCTCCCCTGTAGCTTTTTGTTGCTGTTATTTATTTTTTATTTTTACTTTATTTTTTAAATTGTAACTACAGATAGAAAAGGTTTCCTGGGATTAGGATATGTAATTATTTAGGCATGAAACAAAGAGTTGTTTTAGAAATTTTACTATCATTAGGAGGAAGCTTAAAAAGACAGGAATTCCATTGTCTTGTAAGAAGTAAGAAATATTTATTGATTCCCAAATGGAGCTGAAAAAAAACCTTTCCTCTTTTAGAAAGTTGTGAATGACCCAGCGAGAGCTCTAGTAAGCTTTACTGAACCAAGCTGCTAATAGTTATTTAATGTTATTCTTCAGTGTGAAAGAATCTCCGTAGATTTTCCTTTTAATCTCTTTGAATTGCAGGCTCATAAACCTCTCTGATGAGTCCTGCCAGTGTTTTCTTAGATCCCACTGTTGAGACAATGGAGCCACAGAATTCTTTCACCTCTTGTTGTCAGACAAATCCAATAGAACACAAGGTCAGAAGGGCCTATACTTCTAAAGGTTGAAAGATTCTTTTTCAAGTAAGCACATACATTATTTGATTTTAACATTATATTTCTCAAGAACCTCTCTTTATAATGTACTGACTTCTTTATGTAAATAGATTTGGAAGTTTTTCTTGTTTCCATATTTGGCTAAGCTTGTAAGCACAGCACAGGGTATGAACAGACCTTAATGTTCCTAGATACCTCAGAAAAAGTTGAACCCATTTACTTCAAAAGAATCAGGAATCTTTTAGTATCATTGGACTCATTATAAGAGTATACCATATGCCAGACAATGCTTTTTATTTCCGAATGGCCGTATTTTGTTTCAAAATGCTTACTACCATTCTATGTCAAAAATTCCAGATTTAATATCTTGGATCTGTTCATTTAATTAAATCACTCTCTAAATCAGTTTATGTTTTCTCAACCCTTTTAGTAGTGTCATGTTAACAGGGGAACTTTAGGAGATAGGATTTACTTTTCTAGATACCTATTAAAATGTTTTATTACAAGAGAAAAATATGCAATACTACAAAAGAAAACTAACTTATCTGTTTTGAAAATGCCATGCCTGATTAGTAGACAATTATTAAAGCTAATTACAGGGTTCCTGTAAGTTACTTTAGAGGATGGGGAAGAATTAAGTTTTTTAATTATAACCACAATGGTGGACAAGCAGAGATCATTGTTTAAAAAGAAAAAAAAACACATTGATTTGTTTGTGCTCCTTCTTTGTAATTGTAGTGGGGTTTGAGGAGAGGGAATTTGCTGTTGCCCCATCCTTGGACACCTGCCTCTCAACAAAGGATCTTGGTCACCCCCCACTGCCCACATTTAGATTCACCTTTTACTTGTGTGTACCACGTCTGCTCATTATACAGTTCTCCAGGGATCCAATTTTCCCAAGTTAATCACCCCTAGCCTTTTTCAGAAATTGTTAGATTACCATCCTTTCAAAGAATATACACTTTCTTGAATTTCTTCTTTCTCCTTTTATTTGCTTATTTCTATTTAAAAATGTAGCCACTTAAGAGTCTCAACACACTACCTTTAAAACTTTAAAAATTTTAATCCATACAGAGAAGTGCATAAATCTAAGTGTGTAGCTTGATGGATTTTCACAGTAAACACACCCATTTAACCAGAAAGCCTCTGGTTTTGTTTTTGTTTTTTGTTTTCGAGACGGAGTCTCGCTCTGTCACCCAGGCTGGAGTGCAATGGCGGGATCTCGACTCACTGCAACCTCTGCCTCCTGGGTTCAAGCAATTCTCCTGTCTCAGCCTCCCTATTAGCTAGGACTGCAGGCGCACACCACCACACCTGGCTAATTTTTGTATTTTTAGTAGAGATGGGGTTTCACCATATTGGTCAGGCTGGTCTCGAACTCCTGACCTCAGGTGATCCACCCGCCTCGGCCTCCCAGAGTGCTGGGATTACAGGCATAAGCCACAGTGCCTGACCTGGAAAGCCTCTTATGACTTCTTCCAGTTACCACTAACTCCTCATTTCCCCCACCATCATAGGGTAGTTTTGCCAG